>NW_017363813.1:0-205827 GCF_000001405.40 Homo sapiens
TAAGACTACCCTTTTGAGATCTACTCTAGAGATGTACTCATTGATCTTGTTTTCTCCTTTGTATACAAGAGGTACACATTATTAAACTTTTGTTTGCTTTTCTCTTGTTAATCTGTCTTTTGTTAAATGGAGTTCCAGCTAAGAACTCATGAAGGGCAGAAGAGAAAATTATTTTCCCCCTCCTACAGACCCTTTAAAAAGTTCTACAGACATCCAATAATGTGTGATCCACAAAAGACACTTAGCTTCATGTGGATTTTCAAGACATTTGTCATTTAAATAAAGCTTGACTTTCACATTCACACCAAATTCTACAGTGTAGAACCTTATTTTTAAAGACATTAGCTCTTATTCTTAAAGATTTAAGGAATCTTTATTTTTATGATACTAAAAAAATCTTACTTTTTATAATATTGCACATAAATGTAAAGTGTTAAAAGTCTGGAAGAATATATAACAACTCATCAACAATGAATACCTCTGAGAGGTTTTAACATTTTTATTTGTATTGATTCAGAATTACATTTGGCTGTCTATTTAGAAACCTAAGAAACAGAGGCTCAGGCAAATTGGGGAGTCATTTTTCTCACATAGTGAGGAGTCTGAAAGCGGGTAGTTCAATGACACCAGAGTTAAGGTCTCTGTGATTCTCTCAGCCTTTCCTTCTTGGTCACAAAGTGGTAGCTACTGCTCCAGCCATTCTGTCCAGAGGAGGAAGAAGGAAAGAAAAGGGATGAGGAGCAATTGCCAGCCAAGGCACTCCATTTATTTATTTATTTATTTATTTATTTTTGAGATGGAGTCTTGCTCTGTCTCCCAGTCTGGAGTGCAGTGATGTGATCTCTGCTCACTGCAACCTCTGTCTCCTGGGTTCAAGCGATTCTCCTGCCTCAGCCTCCTGAGTAGCTGGGACTACAGGCATGTGCCAGCATGCCTGGCTAAGTTTTGTATTTTTAGTAGAGACAGGGTTTCACCATTTTGGCCAGGCTGGTCTCGAACTCCTGACCTCAGGTGATCCGCCTGCCTTGACCTCCCAAAGTGCTGGGATTACAGGTGTGAGTCACCATGCCTAGCCAAGACATTTCATTTTAAAGACAGCTTTTCAACAAGCTCCACCCCACAACCTCTAATTTCCCTGTTGACCACACCTTCTGCAAAGGATACTTAGCAATGTTGTTTTTAGCTATACACATTGACATTCTGAGTAAAGTTAGGGTTCTGTTGGTGATGGAAAAAAATCACTTAATCTCTATTTCAACCTCCTTTTATCCCAGTTGTTACAAGATGTATTCTAGTCAACTCTTGCTTAACAAAGTCAGTTTAGCATTTTTATAGTTAAATCACACTTAAACTCAATCAATTCAGATTTCACCTATTTATTTCTCCTTTGCCCTGGGAAGAGCTGGGGAGAGGGGTGTCTATGTGCTGGATAAAGCATGCCATGGAGGTGGAAGTGGTGGTGGGCTCTGGTCCTTGGTAGTCCACACTGACAACTATGGAGCTGTCTGTGGTCTCAGATGTCCATTTCAGACTTATTTGCTGTGCCCTCCTTGTCCTGGAATGCTATCATTTTTACTCTAGAGCTGCCATACCATCTTGCCCCCAAGAACTCTCTGTGAGGTCTGCCATCTTCTAGAACATTGACTGGGAACAAGGCTGAGACAGAACAGGGGCCCATAATAAGGAAGCCAAGCATGGAAATAAAGGAAAATCTTGAGTTCCTTCAAGAGACATTCCAGGAACCTAGTTAACCTTGAGATGTAAATAAGCAACCTGATAAGCAAGAAGGTAACGATAGCTTAAAACAATAGCCACCCAGGAAAATTAAAGCCACAAGATGTTTGTTTCCCTGTAGAAACTAAAGATGACATCTTCACATATATCCCTGCGTTGTTTTTCAGACTCCTATCAGATGGGAAATGCCAACTGCTGCCATGTAGACCACAGATAAGGGGGAGCTGAAGACTGAACTCTGTCCACCATTCTTTGTTCTAAATTTCTTCCTGAGGGGCCTAGAGAAATTCACATCCACAGGCCACACCTTAACATTTTTTTTTGTTAACCCTAAGTTTTTAGACAAAGCCTTGCTTCCTTAACCAATTGCAAATCAAAGAATCTCTGAATCTACGTATGACCTGTAAACCCCCTGCATCAAGATATCCTGCCTTTTGGGGCCAAACCAATGTAACCTCCATGTATTGATTTACAGTTTTGCCTGTGTAAACCAAAAGGTGACTGAGGTAGGTGTCTCAATTGATTAGAGGTTTATTTAGCCAAAGTGGAGGACATGCCTGGGAAAACCACAAATCATAGGAGAATTTGTGATCTACGCTTTTGCCAAGGGTGTCGTGAACTTCAGTATTTAAAGGGGAAAGAGCAAATAGGAGGGAGGGAGGCAGTGAGGCAGATCATTACATTCTTGTGAGGCTCTAAGTAGCCTTACTAAATCTACGTTTTACATATGAAAATAGGGAGTAGTGGAAAAGTCAATAATGCATTGTCTCATTCCCAATAAATCTATATTTTATATAAGATACATTTTAGGGAGGCAGAAATTACAGGCAAAAGCATAAATCAATACATGGAAGGTTTACATTGGTTTGGCCCAGAAAGGTAGGACATCTTGAAGTAGGGGCTTCCAGGTCAAAGGTGGATCCAAAGGTTTTCTGATTGGCAATTGATTGAAAGACTTAAGCTTTGCCTGAAGAGTTTGAAGTTAGCATAAAGAAATGCTTGAGTTGAGATAAGGGGTGCTGTGGAAGCCAGGGTTCTTGTCATGTAGCTGAAGCTTCCAGATAGGAGGTTTCAGAGAGAATAGATGGTAAATTTCCCCTACTGGGCCTTACAAGGTGTCAGACTCTCCAGAAGAAGACCTAGCAAGGGAAGGAGATTCTTTACAGATTGCAAATTTCTCTCACAGAGACAGCTTTGCAGAGTCATTTCAAAATATGTAAAAAAATACATTTTGGGGTAAAACACTTTGATTTCCTTCAGGGCTTACTGTCTGTCATGTGATGCCATACCAGAGTCAGGTTGGAATTTGGTGTCCAAAGAGTCTGTTTGGTCAGTCTTGTGATCTCTATTTTAATGTTAACATTGGTTGGTTGTGCCTAAATTCCAAAGAGAGGAGGGTATAACGAGGCCTGTCCAGCTTTCCCTTCCCATCACACCTGAGCTAGTTTTTCAGGTTTCTTTGGGACCACCTTGCAAGAGAGGGATCCATTTAGTCAGCTGAGGGCTTAGAATTTTAATTTTGGATTACAAGGTAAACAAAAACATTTTATTCTCTCTTAATGTTACATGAAAATCTTGTTCAAAAGAGAAAACCAAATTTACCTTTGTATTTAGTGTATTATTAAAAGCTAATTGTATGTATGTATGTATATGTATATGTGTTTGTGTGTAAGAAATGTTAGTTTGATTTAACCAGTTTTCACAGCTGAATACTTATTCTATAAAAACTTTACAGATTATGCAGTTTATATATAGTTCAAACTACTGAATGAAAAGGTAGGCCCCACAGATGCAAAACTACTGTACCCATCAATCCAAGGTAAAGGTAGATTTACACACTGTACAGCACTTTGCATGGCTGGGGTGGTGGTCAGTTCTGAGTATAAACTTCAACATTGTACAGAAATAAGGTTTTGATTTTTTTTCACTCTTCATACATTCAATATGATTGCAAACTCAGAAGCCTAACTAATAATAAGTGATATGGTTTGGCTATATACCCACCCAAATCTCACCTTGAATTGTCATAATCCCTATGTGTCAAGGGTGGGGCCGGGTGGAGATAACTGAATCTTGGGGACAGTTCTCCCCATACTGTTCTTGTGGTAGTGAATAAGTCCTATGAGATCTGATGGTTTTATAAATAGGAGTTCCTCTGCACAAGCACTCTTGCCTGCTGCCATGTAGGACATGGCTTTGCTTCTCCTTTGCCATCTGCCATGATTGTGAGGCCTCCACAGCCATGTGGAACTGTGAGTTCATTAAACTTCTTTCCTTTATAAATTACCCAGTCTCAGTTATGTCTTTATTAGCAGCGTGAGAACAGACTAATACAGTAAGCATCTGTAGTCTGGAATGAGTACTCACTCCTGGAAGGAATTCACTTGTCTACCCACACAGGGCACTCTTGGACGCCATATTGTATTAGTATATTGTATAGACATAAAAGCAGAGGCCAAGAACATTAAAAGTTGAAAATAAGGTAGTTCTTTTTTTGTTTTGAAAGGAGTTTCTGCAACTAATACTATGTTAAAAGAACTTTAACTTATTAAATAAAATATATTCTAAGTGAACCTCAAAATTGCATTTTATAAACATAAAAATACTTTATTTTGATGTAATACATTAGTCATATCTGCAAATAGAAAATGAAAACTGCATATAAGGTAATATTTCTGACCCAGTAATAAAAGGCACTTTGGAGTTATTTTTTATTTTTTATTTTTTTTTTAAGGGTCAGAAAAACTATTTAAAGCTTGGTAAGACTAACATAACTTAGATATTCAAGATTAAGCTATTTAGTGATTCACTAATATTACAAAACAAGCTTTCTTTTAGAGAGACAGTGGTTTCTTCATGCTAACTGGGAAAGAGCTGGACATATTTAAAAAAGAAGAGGAAACCAATTGGTATCTCAGCATGAATCCTAAGCATATGTTTGGTTTAGGGGTGTGCTCGCCAGTGGATTTTTAATCAGAAAGATTTATCTTACAAGCTAAGTCTCACTTTTGATTTAGAATTTCCCATCTCTGAAGTATTTGTACCTTCTTGGAGACAAAGGCAATACCTCAGACATTCTGTATCTCTGTGTTAGGGAGGCTGGCTGATACCCCTTTAGATTCTGTATTCTAGAAGAAAAAGATGAGAAAAACATTATCAAACATTACTCTAGACTTTTCTGCAATTCAAAACTAATAAAACAGAATTCCATTTTTTTATATTGTACTAGCCAAAGAAAACGAAAATTAGAGCTTCCAAGAGCAGTCTAGTGCTCACCATTATACTTTTACACTTGTGTGGACAAAGCAGCTTTGTAGTTACTTATTTTAAAGCTACAGTACTTAAAAACTTCTTGATAATAAATAACTTGGGTATTTCCAGTCCTGCTTCCAAGCATGAACTATGCGTGAGCTTATTTCAGGCTGCAAGAATGGATTAGGGAAACCAATGATGTTCTTCTGCTCAGCCCATCCCAGTGACATCAGCTGGCAGCTTAACGGTCACAACTCATCAATTTTCCTCTGCAAGCACTTTAACATGGAGTCCATCAGTTTGGCCAAGCCCCAGATTTTCTTCAGCACTTTGCACTCCCTCTCATTGGCCTGCTCCAACTCCATCTTCATGTTGCGGCACACAAGGGCTTCGGATTCCTCAAGCACAACTGGATTACATGAGGCAAACTCCGTAATTCAAATCATAACTTCCTGGGTGAAGGTCCCGGGCCAAAATACCTGGGCTACCAGACCTTTACCACAGGCTTCCTGTGTGGTCATCTTCTGCCCACTGAGCAATATCTCATTTGCAAATGCCCCTTCCATTACTTTAGGAAACAATGGTAGAACAGCCATCTGGATTCTGTCCAAAGATAGTAAAGAGCGGTGGAAACCAAGCCTTTTCATTAGTACAGACCACATTGCAAAGAGGCAATATAGATGCGCTTAGCCTAATGGCTGGGCCATTGACTACTACAATAATAGATTTCTGAAACTGTATGAAAGTATTCACAAAGTTTCTGGTAGCTTCTGCTGTTCTAGTGCTTTCTCTTTTGCTGTCATTTGTTGAATGCTATATAAAATAAATAAAGTCAAGTGCACAACAGAAGGCACTGCCAATGGCACTGAGTAGCATAAGCTTGCTGTTTTCAGCAGCGGCTGTGCTCAAAGCACTTTGGATTTCTCTTTTTTTTTTTTTTTTTTTTTTTTGAGACAGAGTCTCACTCTGTTGCCCAGGCTGGAATACTGTGGTGCCATCTCAGCTCACTGCAACCTCTGCCTCGTACCTTTCCCATTAACAACTAGGGCCCTGGTCATGGCTGTAGTCATGGGGCCAGACACCTGAGGCACTAGTGGGTGTATTCAGGGCCTGTTTCCCATCCTGACCTGCTCTATGCACAGGGGTCCAATAAAGCTCCAACTTACTATTCTCCAGCCGCTATTCTATAGCTCCAACTGGCTATTCAGTCACCACCATATTCTCCTGACCCTGCTCAACAGGGTCCAGTTTCTGGGGGCTCTTGTTCTGAAAGCCATTCTCTGTGGTCCTGCTCTTAATGGGGCTCATAAACACAAATATCTTGATACTTGACTTTGCTAGGTCAATATTCTTCCAGCTAGAGAGAGATGGAGCTGTGTTTTTCCTGAACTTCTGGGTAGCAGCAAACAACTGGCTGTTTTTAGACTCATAGTGTTTGCCAATCTCTAGTGACTTAGGAGAGGTCTTATCAAAGCTTCTGTTGGTGGATCTGGAGATTTATTTCCTAGCATTGTTTGGAGAGTGCTATTTGTTCTGGTCAGTGTGCTCTCTTTCTGCTTTTTGACGTGGTGTCTGCATTCCTCATGTTTCACGAGATGGCACTCTGGTTTCCAAGTGTGATCCTCACTGTCATAGCCCTTCCATCAAACCAAATACTCTGTCTTCCCTTCTTATTTTTCCTTTTGTCAACAATTCTTTCAGCCTGTCCTGCTCTAGTTGGTGGAGGCCAACATAATCCATTTTACTCCTTTTCCAAATCCTGTGTACCTAAACCGTCGATCACTGGAAACCAGTACTACCCAAGATAAAACTCTTCAGATCAGGAATCACAGCCATTTCCTGCCTTAGGAGAACAATGACTTAAAGCTAATTTTTCATAAAACCTTATAAATAAACAAAACCGTCCAATCTCAATCAGTTAGACCACAAGGTAAGATTTCCATAAGCCTTTAAAAAACTTTTTCAATCTTTTGTTATAGAGTGGATCGACCCTACAGAAAAGAAACAAACAAATAAAACCCTGTTAGTCTGACACAGGGGCCCAGACTCTCACATCGGTGTGCTTTTGATATTAATGCTTAACTTATAGGAAAACTAAATAATCCCTTTTACATTTTAGCCAATTTAAGCACACACAGAATTCCTTTCACAAGCTCAATTTCATAAACTTTCTATAACTTGCTTAAACCTTCAGTTTTGTCCTGTCATTGTACCTTAGGACAAAAATTTACATTCTTTTTCACCTTTCTATATTCATATAGCTTTACTTGACACTGTTTTTACTTCTTTAATTAAAAATAATAAAAATCCTCTAAACCAGGTAAAATTACTTTCCCTTTAACAAAAATCACATTTCTATGCCTTCTTATTATTTTTTTTTTATCAAAACTCATCTTACTTTCCTTATATACTTTTATAAAAAATCCAGGCTCTAAAAAAAAATGGTTACAGTAAGGCCTAAAGACAGGTGGCACTCTCCCTGGCCCAGCTATGCCTCCTGGTTCAGCTGGGAAGGGCCATGCCTTATCTGCAGCTCTGTTTTTTGTCCTGAGCTCTGCATCTGATACATAATTAAAAATGGCACCTCTTAGGTTTTTCACTAAAAATAAGAGTTGCTAAGAGTTAACATTGTAATTAATGTAAACCTGATCCAAATATATATAAATTGGAAAACTGAAACTGCCTTTGCAAAATTATAACTGAGGAAATTATGACAGTGAAAGAAATCAGACCTAACCGACTCCATCTTGCTTCTAACCTTTAAGCTGTTCTTGTTCATTCCTGGGCATAGGCCGAACTAACTTTGGGAAGGAACTCAGTTCATGGTTTGATTCTGAAACAAAATTGATAATAGTCCTTTCCAGAAAAGACCCCCTTCTTGCCTGGGAACCAGTCTGCCTAGGCAGGACTAACAAATTACCTATAAGATTAGAAAGTACAGTTTGGAGGTCATGCAGCCTCTGGTTCCAAGAATCTGAACCTCCCCAAATTGCTCCTGGGGATAACATCACTATTGTAAAACCTAAGGTGAGTGCTTGAGATATTTTACAGACTCTGCACTCCATGGATCAGCTGACACCACTCAGACCTGTAATCTGGCTCAACCAGTTCTGCCATCCCACCCAGGAACAGAAGACAGCAAGAAAAACTCACTTCGACCCCCTATGATTCCATCTCCAACCTGACCAATCACCAGCCCCCACTTCCGAAGCCCCTGCCCGCCAAATTATCTTTAAAAATTCGGATCCCCAAATGTAATAATAAAACTCCAGTCTCCCACATAGCCAGCTGTGTGTGAATTACTCTTTCTCCATTACGATTCCCCTGTCTTGATAAATTGGCTTTGTCTAGGCAGTGGGCAAGGTGAACTCATTGGACGGTTACACTTCCACAGTGTTCCTCTCTATAAGGACATTCCCCAGAGGCCAGTGAACAACCCAAGCCAATCAGCCCACTCTGTGATCAACTCATTCCCTATTTAATATATACTCCATGGTCAAGTCTTTTTTTCACAATACAAAACAATTTCTGGTACCCCCAAAAGCCAAACAGTTTAGGTAACAAAATCCAAAAGAGACTGAAGATGGCAAAGAGGAAGGAGGAACAGGGTGGAGTAAAAATAAATAGAACAATTTTTAAGAAAGGAAGTGAGCAGAAGTACCAAGCATGTAATGTTATTTTAATGTTTCAGTCAACTAAAAAATTCCTAAAAATAGAATCCAAAAAGAGAAAAAGAGTAATGGCCATATATATATATCATCTACCTTAGATATCAACTTTTAATTAAGCTGACTTCTACTCGTAGATTTGGAGTTTTGGAGTAAGCCAATTCCACTCAGATTTTTAAAATAATCCCTTCAAATCTCTTATTACCAGATTTTAGCTGGGACAAATAGCTGATATTTTTGGCTTTTGAACATCCTTACCAAAGATATCCTCTCAGTTACCTTAACCGAAGTTATAACCACAAATGCACGCACGAGGTATCTCCAAAGAGGTGACAAGTAGTTTTTACAAGATCCAGAATCACCCCAAAAATAACTAAGAGAAAGGAAACTTTCACTAGCCATAAACAGGGTCTAACCCACATTTCTTTCAGGCCATATTTTCTAGGGTCTTAGCTTTTCAGCTTACTGTCCATACATGAAGACCCAAGAGCCTTGGGTCCCCCAACACAGACAGAAGACAGGAAATCAAAAGCTGTCCACAGAAGGGGAAAAGATCAATAGTACATTGGTACCCCCAAAGCCACATAAATATTAAACCAAGACAGGCTGGTTCCCTGACCAGGAATCAAACCCATGCTGTGGAGGGTTTTAACAATTAGGCCACCAGGTGGAATGGCCATTGTTGTTCCCTAATCAGGAAGCAAACCCAAGCTGTGGTGGAAATTTTAACCACCAGAACTATTTTCGGTCAGATTTTGCTCTTAATTTAGTCAAGATAATTTTTAAGGCTAGCCATGAAACTATTAGGCTCCCTTTAAAATATCTGATCTTTTCGTTAATAGTTTAGAATAGGAGATCTCTAAAATCTTTAAATTAATAGCACAATGAGAGAGAGAACCTGGAAAGGCAGTCGTCTTATATGAAACATTTCAGATAGTCAAATTTTGATTTTTCTTAAGTGGCTGGGGTTTTTAGAGGTGGAATTTGACTTTCTACAGCTGCAGGGATTTTAGTCAGCTTTAGAGGGGGCCAGAAGTTCATTAAATCTAACGGAAGATGGACAGAAACAAACAGACAAAAAACACAAAAAAGCAATCAAACAATTTGCATAAAATTGAGATTTCTGAGCATGAGGAGAAATTATAGCCAACTGACGGTAAGCCTTGACTTTCAGCTACTAAATCCCCAAATGACACCCCAAACCAGCTCCTTACCTGGAGATGGGGCACAAGCTGAAAACTGCTCTCTGCCATCACGGAAGCAGGAAAGTCTTCTTCCTTGTTAGAAGTAAGAACTCTCAGAAAAGGAGTTCTGCAGTGGAATAAACTTCAGATCTCAACTGGAAATTTTTGAGTGATTAGGGATCTCTGGAGGGAGAAACTCTCAGACTTCAGCAAATCATCCAATAGGTCAGAGCAATAAAGAGCTCCAGCTGGTACTAGGGCCCCAGTAGGAGAGTTGCTACAGGCCAAGAGCCAACTCCACTCAGAAAGCCCCTTTGTGGTTACCAAAATGTAAACCAAAAAGTGACTGAAGCAAGTCTCCATCCATTAGAGGTTTATTTGGCCAAAGCTGAGGATGCGCCTGGGAAAAAGCATAAATTACAGATGCTCCTGTGATTTATGTTTTTTCCAAAGGGGGTTTTGTGAACTTCAGTTCACAAAAGGGGAACTGCAAGCAGCAGGGGGAAGAAAAGGAGGCAGGCAGTGAGGCAGGTGGTCACATTCTTGTGAGGCTCTTATTAGCCTCAGTAAATCTACATTTTACATGTGAAAAGAGGGAATAGAGGAAAAAGTCAATGATGCATTCTCTCACACTCAGTGAGTCTACATTTTACATAAGATGAAGCAAATGTGGAAAGAGGGAGTAGAGGAAATGAGGCTATGACATGGGGTTGTGAAATTACAGCTATCTGGGAGCCAAAGGAAGACAGTATTTGTGACTCAGCTTCTAAGCTTAACTTGCACTTTGGTATAGTGAGTTCGGGGTCCCAAGGTTCTATTTTTTTTTCATACCTGTAACTTCTGTTTCCAAAAATGTTCCCCTGTCTTTAAAAACCCTTGCTTATAAGCCACTGGGGAAGTAGGATCTCACACAATAGCTGTCTGATTTTCCTTGCTTGGCACCCTGCAAATAAATGCCCTCCTTTTTCTTGCTGCAAACTTTGGTACAGATATTTGTCTTTACTGTGCTGGGCCAATGGACCCAGGTTTGGTTCAGTAACGAGGCACTTTTCTCACTTTTAGGTACCCCCACCAACTCTATCTAAGATTCCATCACCCTCCAAGGAGCAGGACCCTTTCCCAGAGGCCCACAGCAACATATAAGCCTGGAGCTCTAATCTGACTCTAGCCTGATAATTCAAGTACCTCTGACCTAGTTTTAAAGAGCAGGGAAGTCTGCATGGTCATCTATTGAGTTTCTATTCTGTTGAGTTGGGCAGTGTTCTCAACTGACTGCCCATGAGAATCACCTAGTGTGTGGGTATTAGGGGGGAGACTTTAAAAATACCAGTACTGAGCCCCCACAGCAAGAGATTTCCATTCAACTGGTCTAGACCCAGTCCAGGCAATGACGTTTTTAGAAAACGTCCCCAGGTGGTTCTATCATACAGCCAGGTGGAGAGCCAGTGGTGATGGCTTATACTGTATGCTCTGATTTCTTCAGAGCTTTGTTTTTGATTCTCCAACCAAAATTTTGTAACTCAAAATGGTTTTCTCTCCCAGAAAACACAGCTTTTGTAAATTAAAACCCTTGTTTTTCTCTCATGAATTTCAAAGGCCTGCTTAGAAACTCAAAAGCCCAGAATCTGACTCTAAATTATCTGCAGTGTGCCTTCTGAGGCAGAAACCGGCAAGCCTGAGCCCAGCCTCACTGTGCAGTGATGATGAAGAGAGATGTTGAGTAAGAAAAAGCATTACTTAGTATGGAAAACAGCAGCTCATGTATTAAAATCATACCCATTCCCCTGAGCCTGTATCAGAAAAAATTCCAAAGAAACCAGTTCTCCCTACATCCTTTCGCCCAAGAAATCACAGCCAGAGATTTTCTTTTAATCTTACTCCCTAATAAACAAAAAGGCCCTCAGAAACTGCCTGTTTTCTTAACTGCCCAATAGTGTTCCCTAGGGAAATAAGAATTTTCTCATAAAGGTGTTAGTGATACATATTCTTCTTGAAAGAATGAAAGTTACATCAAAGTTTTTTTTTCCTGGTGTTTTTCCATTAAAGTATGGAACAGTTATCAATTTTCAGGGTACCTCATGTAGTTCAGATTTGATAAGTTATAGAGCTAATTCATTTGCATATCTATAGATTAGCATTCCATAGGGTTATTTCTTTTTACTTAGGCTATGTAGCTCAGTTGACTATGCTTGTCACTACTGATGTCAAGGTTAAGCCTTCAGTCTCCATGGGGTCTGATTAATTACCTTCGCTGTGTTTTAGCCCTTCCTAAAATATATGCATTTAGTCACCAGGGGGACCAGACAATGTAGATAGTTAGAAGTATAAAATATCCAGAGAAATTCAAGGCCTTTTCTAAGAAAAATACGTTTTTTTTTTTTGGAAGCCAAATAACTGAAATTTTGGAAAAATTCACAATTTATCTAACCCTTTCCCTAACATTTTATTTTTTTAAATTTCAAACATACAGAAAAGTTGAAAGAATTTTAAATTAGTGTCCATATACCCACCATGTAGATTCTACCATGAACATTTTGCTGTATTGCTTTATCATGCTTCTAACCATCTATTTATTCCTCTGTCTAGTAAACTTATGTTTTTGATGCATATCAAAGAAATTTGCAGAAATCAGTGTACTTTACTTCAAAACACTTTAGTATGTGCATAAGTTTTTCCTATTGGTTGTGTACCAAATTATTATATGTATGTAAGTTTTCCCTGTTGGTGCTGTACCATATTATACAAAGTGGCTTAAGACAACACGAATGTATTATGTACAATTCTGGAGGTCAAAAGTCTGAAATGGGTCATCCAGGGCTCAAATCAAGGTGTCAGCAGAGCTGCTTTTCTTCTGGAGGCTCTAGGAGAGAATCTATTTCCTTGTTTTTTGTAACTTCTAGAAGCCATTCATATCCTTAGCTTGTGGTCCCTTCCTCCATCTTCAAAGCCAGCACTAAGGCATCGTCAAGTCTCTCCATGATCTCTGCCTCTCTCTTCATAACTTCTTTGCTGACTCTGGCCCTCCTGCTTCCCTCTTACAGGGGCCCTGTGATTACATTGTGCCTACCCAGATGATCCAAGATAATCAACCCCTCTCAAGATCCTTAACTTAATCACATCTCCAAAGTCCCTTTTGTGTAAAGTAACATACTTATAGGCTCTGGGGACTAGGACATGAATATCTTGCTGGGCAGAAATTATTCATCTAATAAAGCATGCAAAATGGGTGTTTTTCATCTTTAACACCCATTGAAGATTTACAGTCAGATGAAAATTAGGAAGCTGGCCTATAAATGGGAGTGAATATTGATACAAAAAGAAGGCTAAGAACTGAGGCCTGGGGCACACTTGGAGGTCAGGAAGATGAGGAGGAACCAGAAAAGTAGCCCTGAGAGGAACAGCCAGGGAAGTAAGAAGTGGACACTCAGCAAGTGTGGAATTCTGGAAGCCAGAAGAATTTCTAAAGTTTTTCTAAAAGAGGATGATGAGCTGTATCACATGCTGCTTACAGAGCAAAGATCTGTGGTTGAGATCTAGTCACTGGTTGGGTTTAGCAAAGTGGAGATCTCTGGGTACCCTCTTGTAGTGATGTGGCCAGGGTAAGTGCCTGGTTGGAGTGGCTTCAAGGGAAAAGGAAAGAAGAGGAAGTGGAGTAGGTATAGGAGTGAACCAAGAAGAGGTGAACACATCAGAGAACTTTTTCAGGGACTTCTGATAAAAAGAAGAGCAGGGAAAGGGGTGATATCCAATGTTGTCACTATCATCATCATCAATTTGACATAGTTGCAAACATTACTCAGATCCTTTTTAGCTCCAGAAAATAAAGGAATAAAAGGATAGAAATAAAGCAAGAGCCTGCAAGTGCTTAGTTGTAAGTTGTCCTTACCACCACGATTCAACAGGGACACCACTGAAGAAATTCACAAGGCCCCGATGGCCTAAATTCTGACAATTCTATCAGCAGTCTTGACTTCTGCTCTCCTCTCCATCTTCCTTGTTTCATCCTATTTTTTCATTCTTCCCTTCCTTCCTTTATTTCACAAACATATAAGCCCCCATATCTTTGAAACTTGAATCCAGCAGAGGGATAAGTGTGAATTGACTAGCTGGAAAATTCTTTTCATTTCTTAATAAAAATCTTTCATTCTATTCTTGAGAATAAAAATATTCTTAAATTTCAAAACCAGTTGGTTGTATCTTCCAAAAACACACTCTCTGATTTAGTTGTAGACATTTATTTAAATAGTTTTACATGTAAATGTCCCTATTTCATAGTTTTTAGAAGCAATTTTTGGAGAGCAAAGTTTAGGCAGCAATATATGAACAATTTATATTATGAATTTCATTCACTTAAAAAGATAACGATTCTTTTTCCATTTTAAAAACTGCACTCAGAAATGAATGGGGAAACTTCATGAATGTTTCTGTTTTTTTTCTGGGGCTTCACATTTCTGTATTTAATTCTTTCTTGACTTTCTCAGACTCTAGAATTTTCCTTTTCTCCATTCATATACACATATCCTTTGTTCTTTTATTTACATTTCACTGTGTCTTCTCCTTAGTCTCCTTAGTCTTCTTGTAATTTCTTTGTCCCAGGTGTAGCTAAGGATGATTCACATACCTAAGAAGACTGCTTAATATTGTTCTTTTAATCATCCATCTCTGTCAACTCTTTCCTCACTATAATCCATTGTGTGAGTCTAACAATCTCATTCTCCCTTGCTAAGATAATTTTCTCACATCTTATGATTTCCTTATAATTGACTTAACAATTAAAATATTTAACTGAAAACTTCCTGGCTGAAACAAAGGAAACAGAAAGAATCTTTACAACCTTGATATTTACCTGGTAAAATGTTTTCATTTGAACACTCAGAGCATTGTATTTGGATCTGGGCACCACATCTTCAGAAGGACAATGACAAATTAAAATGTGCCCATTGGTGAGTGATCAGGAGTTTGAAAGTCATGTCATGAGTAATGAATAAAGGATATTGGGATGTCCTGTTAGGAAGTAAAATGTCTGGGGTGGGAGCAGGACGTGGGGTAGTAAGGGACAATAGAAAAAGGGAAAGCCTGGCTGGGATGAGGACTGCCACTATTGGTCAACAGGGTGGCTGTCCCAGGAGGAGAGTGACACCTGGGATGGAGGGAGGGGGAAATATCTAGAGGAGCACCAAGGGGAAAATGTGGTCTCATGAAGCTTCAGTAGAAAGGTATCTCATCCATTCCCCAAACCCACCTGGCCATGGGCTTTTGCTACTTCCCCCAGTTAGCCTCATGAGCAGAGGTGGTTGATGGTCTCAAAGGACTGACAATGAGACCACTGTAAAAAAATCTTGGGACAATTTAAGAAAAACAGTTACTGTGAAAGAATAACCACAAACAGAACAGCCTACAGCAGAAGAAGCAGACCTATTGACAGATATGAACAGGAATCTTAATACCAAATAAAACATTGCAAATATGAAACAAGAATAAGTAGTTTGAAGGAGAGCCAATCAAAGGTACTAGATATAAAAATTACAATTGCCAATATAAGGAATAGGTTGAAGAACTGAATGAATGACAAATGGGTAGAATCTAGAAACAGATCCAGATGTCCATGGGAACTTGGAATATGTATGTAGCATCATAGCCTGGTAGAGGGAAGATGAATTCATCAATAGTCCCTAGAAAACTGGTTCATCATGTGGGAAAAACTTGGAGTAGATGCCCACCTTTTTCTATATACAAAAATAAACTTTAGGTAGAGTAAAAGCCTAAACATGAAAGGCAAAGCCATACATCGGTTAGCAGCAAATGGAGAATTTTTTTTTGTGACACTGGAATGGAGAAGAATTTTGTAAGGTGCTAAAAAGTACAGACCACAAGGGAGACAATCAATGGAGTTAATGACACCAAAATTAAAGATTTCTGATACCACAAAGTTACCAGATGTGTGATAGATTTGGAGGTGACAAAGTGGTAATAACTGACAAAAAATAACTAGAATACACAGAAAACTCCTGCGAGTGGATAAGAAAAGAAAAGGATGAGGATATTGTAGGGGACCCTGCTGATGCCCTGCCCACATTCGTGGCCCATCTCTGTGTTCCCCTGCAGTTACTATCGAAGGTTCCCAGCATGCACACTGCTTCCCACCTGTGTGGGAGCCTCTCTCTTTCTCAGCCTCAAGGTTTTTTCAGGTACTGTGGGAACTTGCTTAGTTTAGGTGCAGTGCAAATGGGACAAGCTAGTGGCTGAATCTCACCAGGGGCAGCTCTCAACCAAAGAAGACCAGTGAGTAGCATATAAACAGCCTAGCTTCCCCATATCCTGGTAGGAAAATTCTGAGGCGTGTTCAACACAGGTCCTCAGAGGGTCCTCAGCAGGACTGAGCTCTGGTTGTCCACAGCAATTATCTGCCCATAACTTACCCTTTAGTGGGTTTTCTCCTTTCCTTGTCTTGCTGTCTTTACTCCCTTGCTTGTACTTCTGAATAAATGACCTGCACCCAAGTCTGTGACTGAGACCTGCTTTCCAGGTAACACAAATTAGGACAGATATGCATAAGCATTTCACAGAAGGGGAAAGTGGAAAGGCTGATAAGCGTGGGAAGAGATGCTCAACTTTCATAAGTGGAGAAATGGGCCGGGCGCAGTGGCTCATGCCTGTAATCCTAGCACTTTGGGAGGCTGAGGCGAGCAGATCACAAGGTCGGGAGATTGAGACCATCCTGGCTAACACGGTGAAATCCCGTCTCTACTAAAAATACAAAAAATTAGCCGGGCATGGTGGCACGTGCCTGTAGTCCCAGCTACTCGTGAGGCTGAGGCAGGAGAATCGCTTGAACCCGGGAGACAGAGGTTGCAGTGAGCCGAGATCGCGCCACTGCACTCCAGCCTGAGCGACAGAGCGAGACTCTGTCTCAAAATAAAAAATAAAAATAAAAATAAATAAAAATCAGAGAAATGAAAAATATATAGGGAAGTACAAATTTACCTGAAAGGTATAGAAAAAATAAAAAACCTGGATTTCCTAAAGTGCCTATGAGAATTTGGAGAGGGAGAAACCCCATCCATCACTAGTGAGACCATTCTGGAGAGCAATGAGCAATGTTTAGTGGATTTGCCTAGATGCGCACCCTATGATCTCACAAATCCTCTTCTATGTGTAGGCCCCACACAAACTCCCACACTCCCACCCTACCTGGCCTATGAATCAAACTGATCTTCAGGTAATCTTACCATATTTCTCAAGTCCATCACTGTCCTTCTCAACTTCTTTCTTCTCATATCTTCTCTTTCTTCCTCACATTCAGCTGATGACCTCACTTCTTATCGAACTGAGAATACGGAAGCAAACAGAAAAATATTTCCCCACGTTCCCATTGCCAAATCTACCAATCTACCAGTAAGTGTGCCTGTATCCTCTGCCTTCCTCCCTTCCTGACACTAACTCTTTCCATGTCTCTCATCTCCTCACGAACCATGTTCCTAGACCGTCACCACTGTCTCCTGATCATCAGTTTCTCCCACCCTGTTGGGTCATTCACACAAGTATGCTGTAGCAGTCCCCACATAGGAGGAGGAGGAGAAAGAGGGAGAGGGGCAGGAAGGGAAAGCAGAGAAGGGAGAGGAGGAAAAGGGAAGAAAAAAGGAAAGAAAACATCCCTCTTTTATACATTCCCCTTTATGTTTTGCTTCATACTTATGCTTCCCTTTACAGTAAAATGTCTCCAAAGAATTGTCTATAATTCTCAGTCTTCCCCTTTTTGAGCCCATCAACACCGCTGACATAATAGATAGTTTCCTCTGTCTTGAGGCCCTTTCTTCACTGCCCCAGGGATGCTTCTCTCTTGCTTGAGTCTTCTGTCTCATGGCATCTACTTCTCACTTTCCTTTGCTGGCTCCTCATCCCCTTTCCGGACTCCATGTGTTGCCTTGCTCCAGGGCTCAGTCCCTTACTTGTTCTCTTCTCAATCTACACTCACTCCCTGCATAAGCTTGGCTTTAAGTATCATGTATACCAGGACAACTTTCTAGTTTTATTTCCAGCACAGACCTTAATCCCAAATTCCAGAACTACCTTCTTGACAGCTCCACTTGGATGTCTGATAAGCATTTCAAACTTAAAATGTTAAAACCAAACCATTGGTTTTTCCCTGAAACCTGTTCTACCTGTTGTCTTCCTCTTAATAAATGGTACAACTTTATCTTCCCAGCTGCTCAAGTCAGAACTATTGGGGTCGCCCCTGATGCTTCTCTTCCTCCCGTTCCCCATACCCAATCCATTAACAAATCTCATTGGCTCTACTTTCAAAATATGCTGCAGTATTCCTACCCTTCTCCCACCTCCACCACCACCACTCAGTCTAAGCACCACCATCTCTGCTCAGGACAACTGCAGTGGTCTCCTAACTGGATTCTCCCTCTCATCCTTACTCTCCTGTCATCTATTCTCCACTCAGCTGCCAGAAGGATCTTTTCAAAAAGTCAGGTCTTGTCATTCTTTTCCTCAAAATCCTTCCTACTTCACTCAGAATGGATGCATCAGTCTTTACATGGCCTGGGGATGCTATCTGATTCGGCTCCACCCTATTCCTGTAGTCTCATCTCTTCCGTGCTCCCCTTCAGCCTCCCCTCACTCACTGTGCTTTAGCCTCACCCACTGCTAGTTCTGGAACACGTCTTGCACTTGCCGTTCCCTCTGCCAGGAATGCTCCTTTTCCAGATATTAGCATGGCCCACTCTCTAACTTCATTCACGTCTCTATTCAAATGTTACCACGTTCTCAGAGAGACTTTTCCTGACCACTGGATTTGAAACAGCATCCTCCATTGCTATCTGTCCTCTTATCTTGATTTATTGATTTATTTTCTTCCTTGCACTTATTATAACCTAGCATTGTATGTTTATTGTCTATTTATTTTCTTTCCATACTAAAATAAGGGAAGGGATTTTGTCTATTCCCAATTATGCTGTACTCCCAGTAGCTACTTGTCTTTAGCACAGACTGGCACCAGATAAATATATTTTGAATAAAAGAATGAACAGGCACACAAATTGAGAGCTAAGCAAAGATTTTCATCCCAGCATTTTACATGAACAAAAACTTGAAACAAGCTTCATGCCCTTCAATGAGAGAATGAAGAAATAAAATGCAGTCCAAGCAAAAAGAATGAAATGCTGTTCAGCTGTTCCAAGGAACAAACTAGAGTCATATATCCAGCTATCAAAATGGGTAGGTCTTAAAAACATAAAGTTGAGAGGAAAAAGTAATAAGGAAGATGAAATAAAGAGTATAATACTGATGAATACTAGGATAAGAAATGGGAAATAAAAGGAAGACATTTTTAAATAAAATAAATAATACAAGAAAATAAAATAAAGACTCTTCCATAAACCAACAATGATAGAGTGTTATGAACTAAGTTGAACTGTATGTTTAAGGTTTAAAAATAATGTATGTTGAAAAAAATAAGAGTTGCCTTGGGAAGTACTTACTTAACTGGAAAATATGGGATGGGATTCCTAAGAGCTGTAGGTGAGAGCAGTGGGGTCTGATCCCATCAGGGAAGGCTTTGTGGAAGCAGGGAGACTTGAGGTGTTCCTTGAAGGATGAAAATGATATAAGCAATGTAAGCAAAGAGCAGTAGCAAGACATTCTAGTGGGCCCCAGAAGTCTGGAAGTAGGAAAGCTGGATATAGACCTATCAGCCTCAGGAGATGGCTCACAGTGTAGGGGAAGGGGTAGAAGACAAAAAGATAAAATTGAACACACTCACTAAGATCAGATGGTAGAATGCCTTGGCTAACACTAAGGAATTTGGACTTGATTCTAACATTGGTGATACTACTTTTGTGTAACACTTGCCCAGTGTCACACAACTATTAAAGTGGAAGCCAACATTTGACTTCCAGCAGTCTGATTCCAGAATTCTCACTTTTAACTGCCATGCTTAACTTCTTTCAGTGAGCATCAGGAATCCAGTCAAGGGTTTTGAGAATTGCAAGGTAATGCACAAGGGATTTTAGCAGGTGGGTTCACTAGAAGTGTGCAGAATGGCTTGCATGAGGCAAAGACTGGAGGCGAGCAGTCTGTGAGGAGGGGAGTATGACAATGTCCACGTGAGCTGATAAGACACTGACTAGCGTGCTGCCAGGGAGATGGGACAGGGAGGGGCCGATAAGGTAGAACCAATGGGGTTGACTAATCAGACAGCTCACAGATTAGTTTTGTGGCCCTCCTGTGTGCTAGGCATTTGTCTGGGCTCTGAGGACAGTGTAGTGAAAGAGATGAACACAGATAATTAACTACTAGTAAGCATGCACACTACTGCCAGGTAAAAGGAATGCAAAGGTCCAACCTAAAGCAGAAGGAGAGTGGTCTTTGTATTTAATTAGAGCTCTTCTTATTAAAATAACAAATGTTAAGCATGAAGTAGTCTTAATGTTTCATACCTTTGAAAAAAATAATTCTGAAAAAAAATCACTGGTTTAGAATTTCTTTCTATAACCAAAAAGGTAGAATATGTGCCTTTTAAAAATGGATTCCCGGCCGGGCGCGGTGGCTCACGCCTGTAATCCCAGCACTTTGGGAGGCCGAGGCGGGTGGATCACGAGGTCAGGAGATCGAGACCATCCCGGCTAAAACGGTGAAACCCCGCCTCTACTAAAAATACAAAAAATTAGCCGGGCGTAGTGGCGGGCGCCTGTAGTCCCAGCTACTCGGGAGGCTGAGGCAGGAGAATGGCGTGAACCCGGGAGGCGGAGCTTGCAGTGAGCCGAGATCCCGCCACTGCACTCCAGCCTGGGCGACAGAGCGAGACTCCGTCTCAAAAAAAAAAAAAAAAAAAAAAAAAATGGATTCCCTTTTCAAGTTAATCATCTTTATCTGAAAATGCAAAGAAGATGGCTTAATGGTCATCGAATTGACAGATGTAACTGGAACTCTAATCTGGTTCTATGATGCACAATTATACAGAAATGTAAGATCTGAGTTTGTGGATATGAATGTGTTATCTTCAAGCAGGTTTTAGAAGTCAGAATGAGCAGAAATTTTAACTCAAAGATCAAAAGTACAAATCAACAAAATTCATCCCCAGGCAGAGGTTGCACAAGATGTAGCAATTTTTTATGAATATTTATATATTCACATGAATCATAGTTTACTTGCCTTATTTAGTAAGTTATTTGACCCTCTTAGGCATTCTTTTATTCATGAAATGTAATTGCACTGCCATCAAAATGACTATAATATCTGATATCTATGCAGACATTTATCTTCAGTTTTTGTTTTTAACTTTTGTTTTAAGTTTAGGGGTACATGTGCAGGTATGTTACATAGGTAAACTTGTGTCATGGGGGTTTGTTGTACAGATTATTTCATCACCCGGGTATAAAGCTTAGTAACCAATAGTTATTTTTCCGGATCCTCTCTCTTCTCCCACCCTCCACACTTCAGTATGCCCCAGTGTGTGTTGTTCCCTTCTATGTGTCCATGTGTTTTCATCATTTAGTTCCCATTTATAAGTAAGAACATGTGGTATTTGGTTGTCTGTTCCTGTGTTAGTTTGCTAAGGATCATGGCCTCCAGCTCCATCCATGTTCCTGGCAAAGAACATGATCTTGTTCTTTTTTACCACTGCATAGTTTTCCATGGTGTATATGTACCACATTTTCTTTATCCAGTCTATCATTCATGGGCATTTAGGTTGATTTCATGTCTTTGCTGCTGTGAAGAATGCTGCAATGAATATATGCATGCAGGTGTCTTTAAATTTTATTTTACTTTAAGTCTGGGATACATGTGCTGAATGTGCAGGTTTGTTACATAGGTATACATGTGCCCGTCATCTAGGTTTTAAGCCCTGCATGCATTAGATATTTGTCCTAATGCTCTCCCTCCCTTTGCACCTCCCACCCCGACAGGCCCCAGTGTGTGATGTTCCCCTCCGTGTGTCCATGTCTTCTCATTGTTCAACTCCCACTTATGAATGAGAACATGCAGTGTTTGCTTTTCCGTTCCTGTGTTAGTTTGCGGAGGATGATGGTTTCCAGCTTCATCCATGTCCCTGCGAAGGTCATGAACTCATTCTTTTTTATGGTTGCATAGTATTCCATGGTGTATATGTACTGCATTTTCTTTATCCAGTCTATCATTGATGGGCATTTGGGTTGGTTCCAAGTCTTTGCTATTGTAAATAGTGCTGCAATAAACATATGTACAAAAACCATAGAAGAAAACCTAGGCAATACCATTCAGGACACAGACTTCATAGGCATAGACTTCATGACTAAAACACCAAAAGCAATTGCAACAAAAACCAAAATTGATAAATGAGATCTAATTAAACTAGAGAGCTTGTGCTCAGCAAAAGAAACTATCATCAGAGTGAACAGGCAACCTACAGAATGGGAGAAAATTTTTGCAATCTATCCATCTGACAAATGTCAAGTATCCAGAATCTACAAGGAACTTAAATAAATTTACAAGAAAAAAACAAACAACCCCACCAAAAAGTGGGCAAAGGATATGAACAGGCACTTCTCAAAAGAAGACATTTATGTGGCCAACAAACATATGAAAAAAAGCTCATCATCACTGGTCATTATAGAAATGCAAATCAAAACCACAATGAGATGCCATCTCATGCCAGTTAAAATGGCAGGTGTCTTTATAATAGAATGATTTATATTCCCTTGAGTATATACCCAGTAATGGGATTATTGAGTTGAATGGTATTTCTGTCTTTAGGTCTTTGAGGAATCACCACACTGTCTTCCACAACGGTTGAACTAATTTACACCCCCACCAACAGTGTATAAGCATTCCTTTTTCTTCACAATGTTGCCAACGTCTGTCATTTTTGACTTTTTATTAATAGCCATTTTGGCTGGTGTGAGATGGTATCTCATTGTGGTTTTGATTTGCATTTCTCTAGTGATCAGTGATGTTGAGCTTTTTTTCATATGATTGTTGGCCACATGTATGTCTTCTTTTGAAAAGTGTCTGATCATGTCCTTTGCCCACTTTGTAATGGGGTTGTTTGTTTTGTTCTTATAAATTTGTTTAAGTTCCTTATAGATGATGGATATTAGACCCTTTGTCATATACATAGTTTGCCAAAATTTTCTTCCATCCCATAGGTTATCTGTTTACTCTGTTGATAGTTTCTTTTGCTGTGCAGAAGCTCTTTAGTTTAATTAGATCTCATTTGTCAATTTTTGCTTTTACTGCAATTGCTTTTGGTGTCTTTGTCATGAAATTTTTTCTTGTGCCTATGTCCTGAATGGTATTGCCTAGGTTGTCTTCCAGGGTTTTTATAATTTTGGGTTTTACATTGAAGTCTTTAATCCATCTTAAGTTAATTTTTGTATAGGGTGTAAGGAAGGGGTCCAGTTTCAATCTTCTGCGTATGGCTAGCCAGTTATTCCAGCACCATTTATTGAATAGGTAATCCTTTCCCCATTGCTTGTTTTTGTCAGGTTTGTTGAAGATCAGATAGTTGTAGGTTTATGGTCTTATTTCTGGGTTCTCTTTTCTGTTCCATTAGTTTAGATGTCTGTTTTTATACAAGTACTATGCTGTTTTGGTTACTGTAACCTGGTAGTATAGTTTGAAGTTGGGTAGTATGATGCCTCCAGCTTTGTTCTTTTTGCTTAGGATTGCCTTGGCTGTTTGGGCTTTTTTTGCTTACATATGAATTTTAAATAGTTTTTTCTAGTTCTGTGAAGAATCTCAATGGTAGTTTAAAGGAATAGTATTGAATTTATAAATTGCTTTGGGCAGAATTTATAAATTGCTTTGGGCCATCTTAACAATATTCTTTCTATCCATGAGCACGGAATGTTTCTCCATTTGTTTGTATCATCTCTTTTTCTTTGTGCAGTGGTTTGTAGTTCTCTTTGTAGAGATCTTTCACTCCTCTAGTTAGCTGTATTGCTAGATATTTTATTCTTTTGTGGCAGTTGTAAATGGGTGTTAGTTCCTGATTTGGCTCTTGACTTGACTATTGTTGGTGAATAAGAATGCTAGTGATTTTGGTGATTTTAGCACATTGGTTTTTGTATCCTGAGACTTTGCTGAAGGTGTTTATCAGCTTAAGAAGCTTTTGATGGAGACTATGAGGTTTTCTAGATATAGGAACATGCTGTCTGCTGAGATAATCTGACTTCCTCTCCTCCTATTTGGATGACCTTTATTTCCTTCTCTTGCCTGACTGTCCTGGCCAATACTTCCAATACTATGTTGCATGGGAGTGTTGAGAGAGGGCATCCTTGCCTTGCACTGGTTTTCAAAGGGAATGCCTCTAGCTTTTGCCCACTCAGTATGATGTTGGCTGTGGGTTTTTCATATATGACTTTTATTATTTTGAGATATGTTCCTTCAATACTTAGTTTATTGAGAGCTTTTAACATGAATGAATGTTGAGTGTTGAATTTTGTTGAAAGCCTTTTCTGCATCTATTGAGATAATTATTTGGTTTTTGTCTTTAGGTCTGTTTATGTGATGAATCACATTTATTGATTTGCATATGCTGAGTCACCTTGCATCCTGGGGATAAAGCCTACTTGATCGTGGTGGATAAGCTTTTTGATGTACTGCTGGATTCAGTTTGCCAGTATTTTGTTGAGGATTTTTGCATTGATATTCATCAAGGATATTGGCCTGAAGTTTTCTTTTTTTGTTGTATCTCTGCCAGGGTTTTATATCAGGATGATGCAGGCCTCATAGAATGAGTTAGGGAGGAGTTCCTCCTCCTCAGTTTTTGGGAATAGTTTCAGTAGGAATGGTACTAGCTCTTCTTTGTGCACCTGGTAGAGTTCAGCTGTGAATCTGTCTAGTCTTGGGCTTTTTTTGGTTGGTAGGCTGTTTACTGCCTCAGTTTGAGAGCTCATTATTGGTCTGTTCAGGGACTCAATTTCTTCCTGGTTCAGTCTTGGAAGGGTATATGTGTCCAGGAATGTAACAATTTCTTCCATATTTTCTAGTTTATATGCAAAAAGGTGTTCATAATATTTTCTGATGGTGGTTTGTATTGCTGTGGGATCAGTGCTAATATCTCCCTTCTCCCTTGTTGTTTCTGATTGTGTTTATTTGGATCTTCTCTCTCTTCTTCTTTATTAGTCTAACTAGTAGTATATTTTATTATTTTTTTAAAAAAACCCTAGCTCCTGGATTCATTGATCTTTTTAATGGCTTTTCATGCTTCAATGTTCTTCAGTTCAGTTCTGATTTTGGTTATTTCTTGTCTTCTGCTAGCTTTGGAATTTGTTTGCTCTGGGTTCTCCAGTTATTTTAGTTGTGATGTTAAGTTGTTAACTTGAGATCTTTCTAACTGTTTGATATGGGCATTTAGTGCCATAAATTTCCCTCTTAACACTACCTTAGCTGTGTCCCAGAGATTCTGATATGTAGTATCTTTGCTCTCATTAGTTTCAAAAAACTTCTTGATTTCTGCCTTAACTTCATTATTCAAAAGTCGTTCAGGAGCAGGTTATTCAATTTCCATGTAATTGCATAGTTTTGGGTGAATTTCTTAGTCTTGATTTCTAATTTGATTCTGCTGTAGTCCAAGAAACTGTTATAATTTCAATTCTTTTGCATTGCTGAGGAGTGTTTTACTTCCGATTATGTGACTGATTTTAGAGCATGTGTCATGTGGTAATAAGAATGTATATTCTGTTGTTTTTGGGTGGAGAGTTCTGTAGATATCTGTCAGGTCCGTTTGATCCAGTGCTGAGTTTAGGTCCTGCATATCTTTGTTAATTTTCTGTCTTGATGATCCATTGTCAGTAAGGTTTTAAAATCTCCCACTGTTATTGCATGGGAATCTAAGTTTCTTTGAGGGTCTTTAAGAACTTGCTTTATAAATCTGGTTGCTCCTGTGTTGGGTGTATATATATTTAGGACAGTTAGGTCTTGTTGAATTGAACCCTTTACCATTATGTAATGCCCTTCTTTGTCTCTTTTGATCTTTGTTGGTTTAAAGTTTGTTTTGTCAAAAACTAGGATTGCTACTCCTACTTTTTTTCTGTTTCCTATTTGCTTGGTAGATTTTTCTTCTTATTTTGAACCTATGTATTTCATTGCATGTAAGATGGATCTCTTGAAGACAGCATACCAGTGGGTCTTGGTTCTTTATCCAGCTTGTCACTCTGCATCTTTTAATTGGGGCCTTTAGCCCATTCACATTTAAGGTTAATATTGATATGTGTGGATTTGATCCTGTCATCATGATGCTGGCTGGTTATTTTGCACACTTGTTTATGTGGTTGCTTTGTAGTCTCACTGGTCTGTGTACCTCAGTGTGTTTTTGTAGTGGCTGATAACAGTCTTTCCTCTTCATATTTAGTGTTTCCTTCAGAAGCTCTTGTAAGGCAGGTCTGGTAGTAACAAATTCCAGCATTTGCTTGTCTGAAAAGAACTTATTTCTCCTTTGCTTATGAAGCTAAGTTTAGCCAGATATGAAATTCTGGCTTAGAAATTCTTTAAAGAATGTTACTATTGGTCACTGATCTCTTCTGGCTTGTGGGGTTTTAGCTGAGTGGTCTGTTGTTAGACTAATGGGCTTCACCTTGTAGGTGTCCTGGCCTTTCTCTCTAGCTTCTTTTAACATTTTTTCTTTCTTTTCAACCTTGGAGAATCTGAGGATTATGAGTCTTGGAGATAATCGTCTTGTGAGGTATCTTACTGGCGTTCTCTGCATTTCCTGAATTTGCATGTTGCCCTCTCTAGCTAGGATGGGGAAGTTCTCATGGATGATATTCTAACATGTTTTCCAAGTTGGTTCCATTCTTCCCATGTCTTTCAGTTACACCACTAAGTCATAGATTCAGTCTATTTACATAATCCCATATTTCTCAGAGGTTTGGTTCATTCCTTTGCATTATTTTTTCTCTACTCTTGTCTGCCTGTCTTATTTCAGAAAGCCAGTCTTCAAGCTCTGAGATTCTTTCCTCCACTTGGTCTATTCTGCTATTAATACTTGCATTATGAAGTTCTTACAGTGGGTTTTCCAGCTCTATCAGGTCAGTTACATTCTTCTCTATACTAGCTATTTTGTTTGTTAGCTCCTGCAATGTTTCATCATAATTTTTAGCTTCCTTGCACTGGGTTTCAATGTACTCCTGTAGCTCAATGAACTTATAACTATTTATATTCTGGATTCTACTTCTGTCATTTCAGCCATCTCAGCCTCAGCCCAGTTCCAAACCCTTGCTGAAGAGGTGATGAGGTCATTTGGAGGAAAGAAGGCACTCTGGCTCTTTCAGTTTTCAGCATTCTTGTGCTGATTCTTTCTCATCTGTCAGGGCTTATCTACCTTTAATCTTTGAGGTTGCTGACCTGTGGATGGGTTTTTTTTTCTTTTATCCTATTTGGTGACCTTGAGGGTTTGATTGTGATATATGGTGTATTCAGCCAACTGGCCTCATTTCTGGGAGATTTTAGGGGGCCAATACTCAGTCCCCAACTCCTAGACTGTGAGCTCTAACTCTGAGGGACTTGTATTGGGTCCCAACTTTGTCCTCTGGCTCCTCAAGGTTTGGAGTCCACTGTGCTGGGGGGTGGGCTGAGGTGCAGCAGCTTTAACAGAGTGCCAGTGGACGTGGGGGTGCCTGTCTCCCTGGGGGAATTTACCACAGTGGAGGAGGCAAGGCAGCTGGGGACTCTGTGTGCTGTTGCACTGGAGGTGGTGCTGGCTTGGGGCAAGGTGCTGGCCAGCACAGGTCTGGGTGCCTTCTTTGCCCTGCAAACAGGAGTAATAGCTCAGGGGGTGGGAGGATCCCCTGTTCTCTGCACAGTGTTAGCACAAGGGCAGGGTACTGGCAGTGGTGGGGTTTCCTGGCTTGGTGCCCACCAAGGCTCTGTCTACAATGGTGGTCAGTGGAGGGTTGGGGATGCTACACACCTGTGTGCTGGTTGGGCAAGCAAAGCAAAACCTGACCATGCAGACGTGCATGAACAAAGTGATCTGGAGAGTAGCCATGGGCTCAGGGGAAGTTCCAGTACGGAGAGGGAACATGTGGACTGGTGCACGGCTGTAAGGGCCGCCTTGCTGGAGCTCTCCAGCAAGCTCTCCATGGTCTGCCAGCATAGAAGCTATGTTGTGGGCCCCCAGGGCATCCAAGACTTCCCTGTAAGCATATGTGGTCAGGCTGGGCCCTGGGAGTGGCCAACAGACCAAGGAGTGCTCAGGTCAGACCAGCCCCATCTGATGTGCAAGACCATTCTGCAGAGATCAGGTCAAATAGTTTCCCTAGGGCTAAAGTCTCTTATGAGAGCAATTTGAGCCTAGAGGGATGGCTGTTCCTGGCTATGCTCCACTACAGACACCCCTGCACCAAACCACCTGTGCTCCACATCAGCTGGCTAGCTGCCCCACCACTTTGCTTGTCTCCTGGGGGCTCTACCCCAGAGAGATGTGGGTCAGCAATTGCTCAGTGCAATCAGCCCAGGATGGAGGATCTGTGCCATGGACCTAAGCTAGGGGTTCCCTGTCTGGCGATGAGCAGTGGGGTTGTGTGGGACCCGGGGGAGATGGACCAGCCTCCTTTCCTTGGGTCAACTGCAACTTGTTGGACGTGTGGATAATGCACTGAGGGTCTTTGCTTCTTTGTTAGTCCAAGGGTAGCAAGGACAGTTCCACCACAGAGGCCGTGTCAGAGAAGCTTTCAGTTGTCCCTGGAAACACTGTCTGGGGAGTTGCTGAGTTGCTACTGGCTTGATAGCTCTGATAGGGGGTGGCTAGAGGCCCAGGACCAGGCCTGGAGGACCTACCTATTGAGGAGATACAGGAACAGGCACCCATATAACAGTCTGGCCACTTTTCTGTAGGGCTACTGTATGTAGTATGCTGGGAGTCCTCTCCAGTTCCTAGTCCCCTTGGAATTTCCAGTACCTGGAGGCATCACCAGTGAAGGCTATGAAACAGCAAAGATGGCAGCCTGTCTCTCCTTCTGGGAGCTCCATCCTAAGGAGGTATAGACCTTTTGCCAGCCTGAACACACCTGTAGGACGTGGCTGAAGACCCAGTTGGGAGGTCTCACCCAGTGAAGAGAAATGTGGTTGGGGATCTGCTTAAAAAAGAAGTCTGGCCACATTTTCACAGAGCAGCTGTGCTGTGCTTGGGGTCTGCTTCAGGCCTCAGTCATCTTAGACACTCCAAAGCCCAAAGGCTGGAATGGCCAAATTGCCCAAACAGCAAAGATGGCGGCCCACCCCTCCCTCTGGGAGCTTTGTCCCAGAGAGGTTTGAAACCTCTGTCAGCTGGAGAACACTGTCTGGGGTGCCTGGAGGTCCCAGTCGTGAGGTCTTATCAAGTGAGGAGGAACAAGATGGAGGACCCACTTAAAGAAGCAGTCTGGTCACGTTTTTGTAGAGCAGCTGTGCTCTGCTGGGGTACCACTTCCTCTCCTGGTTGGCTTGGACTCTCCAAAGCCCGAAGGCTGGAATGGCTAAGTCACCCAAACAGCAAAGATGGCGGCTTGCCCCTCTGCCTCTGGGAGCTCCACCCCAGGAGGTTTTCAAAACTCTGTTGGCTGGAGAACACTGGAGAGGGTGGCTGGAGACCACAAGTTGGGAAGTCTTATGTAGTGAGGAGGAACAAGATTAGGGAACCAATTTAAAAAGCAGTCTGGCCATGTTTTCATAGAGCAGCTGTCCTATGCTGGGGGATCCCTTCTGCCTCTGGACAGCTTGGACTCTCTGAAGGCTGGAATGGCTAAGTCACCCAAACAGCAAAGATGGCAGCCCACCCCTCCCCCTGGAAGCCCCTTCTTAGGGAGGTGCAGTGCCACTACTGGTGGCTGGCTGGAATGCCAAGCCAGTGGGACTTATCCTGAGAGGAGTAGTGGAAGTAGAGCCTGCAGACTGTTGCTTCTCAGTCCCCTCTTTCCTAGGGGTACAGAGGTATAACCTCTTTCCTAGGGGTACAGAGGTATAACCTCCTGCTTTGCCAGAGTTGCAGCTGCTCTTGCCAGGAAGCCCAGAGAGTGCAAGTATCTAAGGCTCCTGGGTCTCCATGCATGCCCCTGACCAGAGCAGCTGCATTGCTGAGACTCCACATAGCTCTATGTGTCAGACTAAAGGCTCTGGTGGAGTGGGTTCACAAGGGGATCTCCTGACCTGAGGGTTGCAAAGATCTGTGGGAGAAGCATGGGTTCCCGAGGTTGCATATTCAGTCACTGCTTCCCTGGGGAGGCGGGGTTCCCTTGGCTCCATGTTGCTCCTGGGGTGGGGCATCATCTTGTCTTGCTTTTCTCCACGGCCCTGTATGGCATGAGAAATGTTTGGCCCTGTAAGGCATGGCCCTGTATGGCATGGGATGGTTCCCTATGCACCCAAGGAGTTCCTGGAACTCACTGAAAGGGCTGGGCTCAAAGGATCCCTTAGTCACAAATGAGGGACCCAGACAGAATAAATGTCTCCACAGATATTAGTGTGGGAGGATAATGGCTGAGACCAGATGCCTGCTTCCACCAGTATCTTGACCCAATGAAGCCCACCTTCCCCCATTGCCCCTTAGACACAGGAGGATACCCATCCGGATTGAGGAAAGTAAGTTTCCACTGCCTGGCACAATAAGGCCTCAATTAAAAATTTAAGTGAATTGTAGAGAATATGGAGAAACAAACTTCGGTTTGTAAATGGAAATATAATTATAATACAGATCTATCTATATCTAAATGCTAGATACAGAGATCTATATCTCTGTATGCTGTATGCTCTGATCTATATGCTATACATAATTAATTTCTGTTTGTCCAGATGAATAGTAAGTGCCATCAGAGTAGGTATATCAGTAAAGGAATGTTTTGGCTAGAATAAAAGAAAACATGGGCTGGGTGCATTGGCTAACGCCTGTAATCCCAACACTTTGGAAGGCCGAGGTGGGCTGATTACTTGAGTCCAGGAGTTCGAGACCAGCCTGGGCAACATGGAGAAATCCCATCTCTACAAAAAATACAAAAATTAGCTGGGTATTGTGGCACATGCCTGTGGTCCCAGCTACTCAGGAGGCTGAGGCAGGAGAATCACTAAGCTCATGAGATTGAGGCTGCAGTGAGCCAAGATCACACCACTGCACTCCAACCAGGGCGACAGAGTGAGACCCCATCTAAAAAACAAAAAACAAAAAACATGACCCCCAAAACTTAAAGAATTGGAGGTTTTTATTTTTCACATGACAATAAGTTTGGTAGTGGGCAGTTGCTGACTGCTCAATGATGTCAGGGACAGCATCTTTACTGTTTTCTTCATGTCTGTATTATTTTCCCTTGTGGTTGCTCCAATGCTCCATCCATCACACCTGCATTCAAGGCAGAAAGAGAAAGGTCTGGCTGAAGCTGTACTTGTCTCCCTTTATGAGGAAAGTCATGGCTTTCCCAGAAGTCCCCCAGCAGACTTTTCTTTATATCTCAATGGCAAGTACTCAGCACCGTGCACATCTCAAATGGTAATTGAGGATTTAAGGTGAAAATTGAATATAGTTAAAATTGCCCTTGAATAGTTCCTTAGGATTTTGCCATGTTGGAGAGCAGCCTGCTGGAAGCCTACACTTCTTTTAGAAGCCCACACTGTCATTTCTACCACAACATTGGAACAGATCTTTATTTCAGCAGGTGAAATAGCTGGTATTAGGTGTTGTAGCATTTAAACAGTAGGATTTTTAAACAAAGGGATTACACTCAATGCAGCAAGATACTTTTACTCTGAGAGAAATATGGAACCCCCACCCCAAGCTCATTAAATAAACTGGCAGATAGAAATGATCTCACTATTTAGATTGTTGTCCACATGTTATGAAGCACATGGTGTAGAGGAGTGGTTAAGAGTCTGTCCACTGGAAACAGACTGAAAGCCTGCTCCATCACTGACTAGCTTGTGCTGTGACCTTAGGCAACTTATTTAACCTCTCTGTGGCTCAGTTTCCCATCTGTGAAATGAGGAAAATAATACAACCAACCTCATAGAGGTTATTGTGAGACATAAATGAGTTAATAAAGGTAAAGCCCATGTGTCTGACTCATGCTAAATGCTATAGAACATTTAGGTATTATTACTGTTATTGTTCCTGTTATTCCACAGTTGCATATACTCCTGCTAAATATGCACAAGATGCTACTCTAGAGAGGAAAGCATTCAATCAAGATTTGTTGAATTAATAAATAAACTATAATATTTAAAGTATTTCACCCAATATCTGATTAATATTCAACCAACAGTTGTTACTAACACTGCCACTTCAGTGCCTTTGAACCTTAATGATCGTGTCTCATGCGAAGGAATGCAGAAATGCACCACAGCTAGGGAGGAAGTACTACATATTTAAAGGAAAATGAAATTCAATCCTTAATAATGCAAAAATTCATCACGAGGTGACCTGTGTAAATATTAAGGGTTTAAATAATTTAACCCCTCCATGCCTTGGTCAGATGAAAAAGTTGGATTAAGAGAGTTTTAAAAGTGAGTTCCCTAAGGTGTTAATAGGTGTCCTTAAATAAATTTGGAAAACCTAGATGTCAAGTTAAATGAATTACTGTTGTCTCTTTTTTTTTCTGCGCATTTATCAGAACCTTGAGGTAAATTTGCCTTGTAAATCTCCGAAAGTGTATATAGAATGAAGTACTATACAAACTTGATGACAGAATCTTTTTTTTTCCAATTGCTGTGAACATCCTGCAGGTCTCCTGTTCTATCAAATGCTAGATGCCTCTGAGGTACCCCATTCATTCAATTCTAAAATCTTCTGTATGACTAATGAAGGTCAGTAGGTGGAGGATGCTTTTAACGTATAGTTATATAGTTCAAAAATCCCGAATGGTGCTTTGTAAATATCCACGCTGGGGCTGGAGCTGTTGTTGTCATCTTTGCCTGTACCTTGTAATCACCTAGGGAGATTTAAAAAATACTGATGCTCAGGTTGCATCCTCAGAGATTCTAATTTAATTGGTCTGGGTGTCACCTGGGCATTAGATTTTTCAAAAGATCCTCAAGTGATTTCTAATGTGCAGCCAGGGTTGAGAACCACTGGGCTAGGAGAAAGAATCTTTGGCTGGGACAGGTGATAACCAGGGTCAGAAATGCAAAGGACCATAGAATTTGGGAGGGGAAATAAAAGGGAAAGACAGGAAGAGGAGACATGAGGTGATGATGATGATTAAAATCTAGCGAAGGTGTGGGTGTAAGCTGTGTCAGAGAAGAGATGAGACTGTCTGAGGGGATGGAGGATAGAGTGACCACGGAGAATGGAAGCTATATATAGAGGAGTACTTAGAACACCAACTGGGAAAGATCATACTCCCCTAAAGACAAACACACACAAAAATAATCTCAAAAACGAAAGCAAGCAGCCTTGTCTGAATGGATGGAAGCAGACCATATGAGCCAGAAGATCCACAGCTTCAGGATTGGAGTCACTCCAAGGAGACTTCCCTTAGGCAGAACCCCTAGTGTTAGAAGAAAGTCTTTGAATTACAGCTGAATTGACTGTCTCATGAGAGATCTTCCTTGAGATTTGCCTCAACTGAAGCCAGCCTATAACCTGTTTCCTTCCACCATAGTGAGGTTTATGGGCTGTGACAAAATTTTTCATAATTTATGTGACTGCTTCCTGCTGGGCCTCCATTGGACCCAGTAAGAAAGGGGAGGAAGCTAGGAGGAAGTGAATGGGGACTGCATTTGCAGCACTCACTCCGCTGTAGGATAGGCTCAGCAGGAAATGACCAGATGTCCAAATCAGTGTCCAGAAAAGAACAGCAGCTGAAATCCCATCTAGACTGGCCTTGCTCCAAGTGAGTACATCTGATGGGGAACAATATGGCCCCAGACATTTCTAAGCCGAGAAGGGCAAATCTATGCACGCTGTCCCACACTGCCCACTCTGGCATGCGTGGCAGACATGAAGAATTGATCATGGTGCAATTTTATGATGAGGTTAAGCACAATCTCAGTGCGTTTCTCAACATGGAGCACCAAACAGCTATCGCCAAGTGATCAGAGTTAGGACTCAACTCCCCTCCCCATCCTAGGCTGTATGTATGCTCAGAGTGGTGTGGGTGGCAGGACTGTGGTAGGCAACAAGGTACCATTTATTTATTATTTATTTATTTATTTATTCAATCATCCCGATATAAAAAAGATAAAACCTATGCCTAGCACTGTAGTAGACATTCGGGGATGCAACAGTAAGTAAAACAGGCATGGTCCCTACACATTCAATAAACTGCTAAACAAACATAAATAAATATATTGTAGTGAAAGCTACTGAGAGTTTAGGAAGTTAATAATTAACATGTTCCTCTTCCCCTTATCTTGACTTAGAAACAGCTGAGACAGGCATAGGAGTCAAGGGGATGGAGGTACACTATCACTTTCATTACTAATAAGAAGAATATGGCTTAGGTCTGACCAACTGGGCTTGTTAATGTGCTACAGCTGAATTGTACTTATCACCCTTCTCTGCATAATCCCAGGCCCCAGGAACCGATCTGTCCTGTCAGTCTACTTGCAGGTGTAGAAGAGTCCCGACCAGCAATTTCTTCAAGTGGGAAGGGCCAGGCCACACATGGCCAGTTCTTTCCCCAAACCCACCAATAAGAGAAGTGGTTGCTCCTCCACTAGGGGCAAGGCAAGAGGTGAGGAGTGTTACCCCAGTGGAGGGCCCCCTATTTGGAAACACAGGGAAAGGGGAATAAGTGATCCATCCTCCTCAACAAGGGCCATGCCGGGAAAGTAAAGGGCACAATGAGGGATTATAGGAGGGTACTTTTTTTAGGATCGAGATGTTAGGAAGGCTCCTTTGAGTGAGATATATAAAATGAGCCCTAAGCAATTTGGCTCCAGAATCCAACTTATCTGGGGGGACTAGGTCATGCAGGCTTTGACGTTAAGAAGTTGAGTTTTTTCCTAAGAGCAATGGCACAATTTTGAAGAATTTAAGCAGGGGAGGGAAGTAATCAGCTTTGCGTTTTCAAACAGCTATTAACTAGAGGAAGAATTGCCAAAATTAGAAAAAATACATATATAATACGTATTTACACACACACACACACACACACACACACACACACACACACATATATGTATATATATATGGTGCCCAGTTTATACTAAAAAAAAACCTGTCCATTGTTTATCTCTAATTAAAGTTTAACTGAGTGTCCAGTATTTTATTTGGCAACCCCAGAGAAGAAACAGAAAAACCAACTAAGATGTTGTTGCAGGTGTTGGTAATAGAGAAGATGACATGCAGCAGGTTCCAGTTCTATTTGGAAGTAGACTCTTAGAAATAGATTGATGTGGTAGGAGAGAGAGCCTGGGGTCAAGGGCCAGGCAGACTCTGGAGAGCCTCTGGATGGACAGAGCTGCCAGTGCATCCAATGCCACTGAATGAAAATAAAATCAGTTTTAACATTTCAGTCTGTTGCTCTCCTCTTGTAAATTTATGCACCCTATGTAGCCATCCTCATGACAACATCTATTTATTAACTGATTTCTATATAATGCGGCATTGGAACTAATACTGAGGGAAAGGGCCTTGTGTGCTGCCAAAAAAAGTAGCAAATAAACCATAGTTCTAGCAGTGTTGTGCCTAATATGACATTGCTTGTGACTGAGAAAATTATCGAAAGCCTCTGGGATCAGAAGACAATATAAATTAGTCCACAGATGGGAGGAATGCTGTTCTGGTCTTCTGACTGTGTCCCTTAACTTTTCAATTATGTAAAATTTTATCAATATAACCTATCTTATCACATCACTGTTGTGAATATCATGTGAATTACGAATATAAAACATCTTTTATTAATATTCAGGTATTGTTGTGGACTGAATGTTTGTGTACCCCCACCCCAAATTTATATGCTAAAGCCCTAATTCCCAATGTGATATTATTTAGAGATGGGGACTTTGGGAGGTAATTAGGGTTACATAAAGTCATGAGGGTGGGGCCCTCATGGTGGGATTAGTGACCTTGTAAGAAGGGGAGGAAAGATCCTTTGACTGTGCACCCTCTGTTCCCTGCACACATGGGAGAAAGGTGATATGAGGGCATAGTGAGAAGGTGGTCATCTGCAAGCCAGGAATAAAGACTCCACCAGAAACCAAATTGACTAGAACCTTGATCTTGGACTTCTAGCCTCCAGAACTGTGCATAAATAAATTTCTGTGGTTTAAGCCACTTAATCTATAGTATTTTGTTGTGGTAGCCCTAACTGAATAATATACATACTAATTTTTTTAACAAAAATAATTAGGTATAAGCAGGCAAGAATGTTAACACCAAAGCAAAATCTCTTGCTTTACTTAACTGATTATTTATTTAGAGACAGGTCTCTGTCTGTTACCCAGGCTGGAGTACAATAGTGCAAGCATGGCTTACTGCACCCAGGAACTCCTGGGCTCAAGTGATCCTCCCACTTCAACCTCCTAAGTAGCCGGGACTACAGGCACACACTACCATGACCAACTTTTTTTTTTTTTTAATTTTTTTTTAATTTTAGAGGCAGGGTCTTGCTATGTTTCTTAGGCTGGTCTTAAACTTTTAACCTCAAGCAATCCTCCCACCTTGGCCTATGAGTAGCTGGGATTACAGACCCAGGCTACTGTGCCCGGCTTCTTGCTATTTTCAGTCTGCCAGTGAATTTTCTGAATCTGTAAGCTAGGCCACCTCTAGCATATGTTCTCAAGTCTCCAGTCCTGGAGCAAATTATATTGTGTATATTTCCTTGCCTTTTCCTTTTCTACCTCCCAAACATTCACATTAAGGGCAGCCTTGAGAAGGCAATGTCACAAAAGGTGTGAGTGTGTGAAGAAGAAAGGAGCTTGGTTGCTAGGAAACCAAGGAGCCAGTACAGCCAAACAGCCACTAGGTGCTTAGGGATTATGTGGTTTGTGCTGACTGCATGTATGTTAGTAGATGGGGCCTTTCTCTTTTAGCACCAACTAGAATTCTGCCACATCCAGACTTCTAGTCTGACATCAGATGTAAAAAGATGCTGAATAATGTAATGACTAGTGAGGCTTTCCATTGCGGTGGTCCCCGCTTATTCACAGGGAATACATTCCAAGACTCCCAATGGATGCATGTAACTGAAGGTAGTATCGAATTTAATATATACTGTTTTTTTCTATACATATGTGTCTATGATAAAGTTTAATTTATAAATTAGGCACAGTAAGAGGTTAACAACAATAACTAGTAATAAAATGGACCAATTAAAACAATATACTGTAATAAAAGTTATCTGAACATGCTTTCTCTCTCTCTCAAAATATCTTATTGCAGTGTACTCATCTATTTTCAGACTGCTATTGAACGTGGGTAACTGAAACCGTGGAAAGCAAAACCACACAGATAAGGGAGGACTATTGTATGAAAGACAGAAACCCAACTACAGAAAAGAGAATTTGTTATATATAGTAACTGGGAAGTCTAGGAGTGGATACTGCTTCGGTTAGGACTGGATTCAGTAATGTGAATGTCATTAGCTCATTCTTGATCATACCTGTTTTCCTCTGTGCAATAGTCTCATTCTTACCTATTTTATTTTTCTGACTCTAAGTGGGATCCCTTCAGGCAGTAAGGAAGGGATAGTCTGGCTACAGAGCTCTAGGCTCCTATGTTTCCAGGAACCATCTCCAAGTAAAGAAAGAGCTTTTCTTTGCTAGGATTCGTATGTTAAATCCCAGAGAAGGGATCTGATTACTCGGTTGGGTCACAGGCTCTCCTATTGCACTAATTACTATGGCCAGAGTAGCAGGGTACTCTGATTTGCAGCCCCATTAAGAACTGCATGGAATATGGGAGGCAATTCTCCAAAGGAAAATGGGATGTGTTACAGGAAGATGAGAGAATTAACTGGGCAGGTCAAAACAGCAGATATCCACTGAAGTACTTGAAAAGACATCTACACAGTTAGCTCTGACTTTTATTCATGTGTAACTTCAATCAAAATTACATATGAAGGATGCCCACTGATGCACTGTTTTTAATAAAGAAAAAATGGAAACAACCCCAGTGTGCATTCATAGAGAAGCAGTAAATAATTGTAAATTCATATAGTATAATACGAAATAGCAATGTAACTACTGACACAGAATGTGGCCTTGATATAAATTAAGGGAAAACAACAAGTTGTAAAGCAGTGTTTAAAGTTTAAATTTTTTGTAAAAATGTTATTTCTGTGAATATTGCCCCAAATTGTTAAGAGTAGCTTTCTTATAGGAAGTTACTATTGGATTCCCTTTTGGTGGGTTATAAACTCCTAAAATGTGATATTTTAGAATGAGCAATATTAATTTTATAGTTAAACCAATAAAGATTAAATTTTAAAAATTCATTATAAATACTAAAAAAAAGTACAAATATTATCACCCATTTTGTAGGTTGTTTTTCACTTTCTTGATAGTGTCCTTTAAGACACAAATATTTTACATTTTGGTCAAGTCCCATTTATCTATTTTTGCCTTTGTCACTTGTACTTTTGGTGATGTATCTAAGAAACCTCTGCCTAGTGGGAGGTCATGAAAATTTACACCTTTGTTTTATTCTGAATTTTATAGTTTTAGCTCTTAAATTTAGGTCTTTGGCCTATTTTGAGTCAATATTTATATATGGTGTGAGGTACAGGTCTGTGTAGTAAAAAATTTGGCCTCACCCCGAGAGAGGACTAGCTTTTGCCCTCAGCTTCTGAGAGTTGATCTATATAATACTTAATGGGAGTGTCCTTGTTTAGGGTGGCAGCTGGCCACACCAGATCTTAGGGTGAGGCTAGCTACACAAGAAAGACCAAATATGTGATTTAGGGTGGGGGCTGGTCATGCTAGAAAGATCAACATGTGATTCAGAGTGTGAGCTTTGGGTCACATGGTGTAAGTCAACTTAGAGACTGAATTCAATCATGTTGGCAGTCTGTCAGTCATGTGCACATAATGAAACCCCAATATAAACTCTGGATACTGAAGTTCAGGTGAGCTTCTCTCACTGGCAATACTCTGCATATTGCCACACATTGATGCTGGGAAAGTATACATGCTGACTCCACAGGAAAGGGGACACAGAAGCTTCAGGTTTGGCATCTTCCCAAACTCTGCCCTGTACTTCTTCCTTTGACTAATTTGAATATGCATCCTTTCCCTATAATAAACTGTAAAAATCAGTATAACAACTTTCAGTGAAATCCTGTGAGTCCTTATGGAAAATTATGAAAACTGAAAGTGGCTTTGGGAACCTACCAGAAATTGCAGTTGCTGTCAGAAGTGAGGGCCATTTTGTGGATATTGTGCTCTCTAAACTTGTAGTTGGCTCCAAATTATCACAGTTGGTGTCAGAAGAGGGATTCATGGGACCAAACCTGACTCACTGGAGCATGTAGTTTGGGAAGAAAAAGGATGAAAGGGTGGATGTTAATGAACTTTTCATTTCTGGATGGCTACAGAGTCAGCCATGATATGGAACTATAGCTGTGCTATAATCAGTTACTGAAGGTAAAAGTTACCAATGGAATTTTAAAATGATGGACCCAACTCTAAGAAGTTGTCTCACTGGATGCCTAAGGAAATGCAGAGTAACAAGAAAAAGAAAAAGAAAAATATATGATATTTGGTTACTGTTATCTGTCATATCTAAAATGTGAGTAAGAAGTAATGCAAGAATTTTGGTGTAAATCCTAATGCTGGGCAAAGCTTGGATTCCAGCTGGTTCAAGCTGCAACTATTAGCCTGTAGAGCCTCTACCAACGAATATAGTTAAAATAAAAACAAAAGAAAGTGTTTGTGTGGACCCCCATCCTGGGTCTAGCCTGGATTCCTTCTATTCCAAGCTACAGCTGCTAGCCTCAGAACCCCTATGAAAGGAAAAATTATGCTGAAACAACAGATAGGGAAATAGGTTAGAATGATTTATAAGAGAATAGGTACAACAAAGGGGAAAGAAAGAGGGGCAAATTGTGCACAAATTTGGCTAAGCAAAGTGGAAAACTTTAAATGGTCGTTAAGAAATGAGGTGAATAAAGCAAATATTAATGTAGCCAAAACTAAGTCCTTAATGTGGTATTCTCAGAGCTTGGGTGGAGAATGGCAGCCCTGCTGCTCTCCCAGTATTGAAAGGCCTAAACAAATCAGATATAGCAGGCGGTGGGGGTGGGCTGGGCTGGCTGGGGGAGGTGGTCAGGGAACCACCTGGTCCCAGGGGTGCCAAAGAGAACAGCTCAAATCATCAAGCATCGTTGATGATAGCCAGTCATCTAGTGACCAGTAGAAACAAGGAACCAGGTGGTTTTCAGAGGACAGCATGAAAACCTGCACATAGGCCAGCGGGCTTCTCCCCTGGAGATCATGCAATTTTCCTCCCTCTAGATGCTATCTTGGAGAAGAGAGAAAACAGCCAAGTTGCATCATTTGATTTGACTATATGACTAGACATTTACATTTTTTTTTTTTTTTTGAGATGAAGTCTCACTCTGTCGCCCAGGCTGGAGTGCAGTGGCACGATCTGGGCTCACTGCAACCTCCGCCTCCTGGGTTCAAGTGATTCTCCTGCCTTGGCCTCCTGAGTAGCTGAGATTACAGGTGTGCACCACTACACCCAGCTAATTTTTTGTATTTTTAGTAAAGGCAGGGTTTCACCATGTTGGCCAGGCTGGTCTCAAACTCCTGACCTTGTGATTCACCTGCCTCAGCCTCCCAAAGTGCTGGGCTTACAGGCATGAGCCAACGTGCCTGGCTGATATTTACTGTTTTTACTCCATCATGTCTATACTTGGCTTCTATATCATTTGAAGAAGGTATTCTGCTGTTTACTGAAAACTGAACAAAGAAAAAACCCCATAGATAAAAAATTTTTGGTGTTAGTAAACTGAAAAAGGCTGTTTTAAACAGGAAAATATTGAGATAACTTTAATCAATGAGTTTAAGATTTTACTCTCTCCACTGGAAAGAACACCTAAGAGGACAATGAGATCAATTCTAGAAACAAAGGAACACTGCATATATATAATCTAGCACATATGAATTATACTGCTTATATTTTGACCTATTTCATGTCAAATACATAAAGCATAGGTGATTTGGTGCAGGAGGGTGAAAAGGGGGCAGGCGGATTACTTGTACCCCTCACCAGAAAATCCCTGTGGCACCTCCAGAGGCAGATAGAAGTGTTTGAAACCCAGTGATCCATCTGGGGAAATTGGTCCTTCTATCTTTAAGTGACTTTACAATAACACAACTACTTAGTTAGTGCAGGAGCCCACACTGGCACCCAGGGACTTAACTTCTAGGACTTTAACAAGGAATAGACCATGTCAACCTCATTCCTTATCAGCAGGTTGGCATTTTCGTCTGAACAAATAATGTATTACATTTTCAGCCAATTGCTTTTGAAACAAGGGCTTTCTGTTGATCTAATGTTCATTATGAAGTCTAGTTCCAAGATTCTTTTTGCTCATTTTATCATGGTGCCTATTCTCTTTCAACTTCTAGACAGAAATTTTTTACTATGGGTATACAGATCTAACGTTGTGTCTCAGGGGTTTTCAACCTTGTTACTCTTGACATTTGGACCAGATATTTCTTTGTGAGGTAAGAGGGCTGTCCTCTGCATTCTAAGATGTTTAGTAACATCCTGGCCTTTACTCACTGCATTCCAGGAGGACTATCACCCCACCTCCACCCCAGTTTAGACAAAAAAAAAAATCCTCTATATATTGCCAAATGTCCCCTGGGGAGGCAAAATTACCCATATTTGAGAACCACTGCTCTTTCATTATGATATAAACTGATTCCAAGATATCCCTCTGGTGTACCCACTCCTGACTGATCTCCAGCCTAATCACTGTGGATGAATACTCTCCAACAATGAGGGGTACTGGAGGAAAGGACTGTGTATTCACGATTCATTACTCCCCTCCCCAACAGTGAATTAGTAACACTCTTGGTTCAGGCTGCTTCACTTCTGTAAGGATGAGTAAATTTGTTGAGAAACAAATTATTCAATGATACTTGTTAAAGCATGGTAAGGAAGACTTCAATTCAAGACCATTACAATAGGTGTGGGGACAATTAAAATGGGATCTTGCAGTCAGGGAGAGAGATTGGACTCAACTCTGAATATGGAAAGGAGAAATTTACAGCCAAGGAGCAGGGTGAGGGTCAGTGGTTGGAAAATTACTAAGGGAGATTCTGGCTAAACCGACCCAACAAGATTCTTGCTGAAGACAGGCCAGGGTGATCAGACATCACCTGGGGGATGATGGAGGGTGTGTAACATAATCAGATATCAAGGATAATCAGATATTGAAGACAGAGCGTTCTGGCTAAACTTACTAAGCAGGTCCCTTTGCTAAAGCTGGATTTTACAAGGAAGTGCACAGATGGGCCCTGGGAGAAGGTCCAGAATCCTGAGTAAAGTTTGGCCAAGAGAAGACTCTTTGTCACATTTCAGATGAATCTATCATGAAACAATTAGTGTTTCTGCTGATATTATACAAAATATAAAGAAAGAATATATAGAAAGAGCTGGACATCAGCCTGAAGATATTGTTGAATCTTATTGTTCAAGTCATGTTGATGTGGGTTTTTTTAACTTGGAGTTAAAAGAATACTAACTAATGAAATTAGGCAGCTTAAATGAATTCATTTTGAATAATTAAGGTTTTCACTACTCAATCAGGCCTAATAGCATGATTTTCCAAAGAGTGAATCATACTTAAAGATAATCAGATATGTTCTCACCAGTTCAAGACAGTCTGAGGGGTAAACTTAGCCCAGAGAAGAAGAGATGGAGTTAGAGTCCATAGGGCAAAGTCTTCTTATTCTCAATCTCCTTGTTTGTTCCCTAGATCATATTGTTAATCTTGGAGTTCTGGAAAACACTTACTCTGAACTTACCCATCTCAAATTCTTCTACTGTGTCTCCCTCCTTTAATATACTTTAGCTTTTATTCATTCCTTAATTAAGAAAATATTAATTGAGTGTGTGCAATGGGTCAGCCTCTGCTCTGGGGCCACAGATGCAGAGGTGAGAAAGAAACACATGGCCCCAGCCCTCACAAAGTGTGTGGATGAGATTCAAGAAGATGAAGGTGGAATAGAGGAATGACATTAACAAATTTTTTTATTGTGGTAAAATATACATAACATAAAATTTACAATTTTAATAATTTTTTCTTTTTTTAAATTATACTTTAAGTTCTGGGATACATGTGCAGAATGTCCAGGTTTGTTACATAGGTATACATGTGCCATGGTGGTTTGCTGCACCCATCAACCCGTCATCTACATTAGGTATTTCTCCTAATGCTATCCTTCCCCTAGCCCCCCACCTCACAACAGGCCCCGGTGTGTGATGTTCCCATCCCTGTGCCCATGTGTTCTCCTTGTTCAACTCCCATTTATGAGTGAGAACATGTGGTGTTTGGTTTTCTGTTCTTGTGTTAGTTTGCTGAGGATGATGGTTTCCAGCTTCATCCATGTCCCTGCAAAGGACATGAACTCATTCTTTTTTATGGCTGCATAGTATTCCATGGTGTATATATACCACATTTTCTTTATCCAGTCTATCACTGATGGGCATTTGGATTGGTTCCAAGTCTTTGCTATTGTGAACAGTGCTGCAATAAACATATGCGTGCATGTGTCTTTATAGTAGAATGATTTATAATCCTTTGGGTATATACCGAGTAATGGGCTTGCTGGGTGAAATGGTATTTCTGGTTCTAAATCCTTGAGGAATTGCCACATTGTCTTCCACAATGGTTGAACTAATTTACACTCCCACCACTCCCTTTTTCTCTAGATTCCTCCTCTCTGGGAAGGGCATCTCTGAAAGAAAGGCAGCAGTCCCAGTCAGGGGCTTATAGATAAAACTCCCATCTCCCTCGGACAGAGCACCTGGGGGAAGGGGCGGCTGTGGGTACAGCTTCAGCTGACTTAAATGTTCCTGCCTGCCAGCTCTGAAGAGAGCAGTGGAACTCCTAGCACAGCGCTTGAGCTCTGTGAAGGGACAGACTGCCTCCTCAAGTGGGTCCCTGACCCCTGTGCCTCCTGACTGGGAGACACCTCCCAGGAGGGGTCAACAGACACCTCATACAGGAGGCATCTGGCAGGTGCCCCTCTGGAACAAAGCTTCCAGAGGAAGGCACAGGCAGCAATCTTTGCTGTTTTGCAGCCTCCACTGGTGATACCCAGGAAAACAGGGTCTGGAATGGACCTCCAGCAAACTCCAGCAGACCTGCAGCAGAGGGGCCTGAAGGAAAACTAACAAACAGAAAGGAATAACATCAACATCAACAAAGAGGATGTCCACACAGAAACCCCATCTGAAGGTCACCAACATCAAAGACCAAAGGTAGATAAATCCATGGAGATGAGAAAAAAACAGCGTAAAAAGGCTGAAAATTCCAAAAACCAGAACACCTGTTCTCCTCCAAAGGATCACAACTCCTTGCCAGCAAGGGAACAAAACTGGATAGAGAATGAGATTGACGAATTGACAGAAGTAGGCTTCAGATGGTGGTTAATAACAAATTCTTCTGAGCTAAAGGAGCATGTTCCAACCCAATGCAAGGAAGCTAAGAACCTTGAAAAAAGGTTAGAGGAATTGCTAACTAGAATAACCAGTTTAGAGAAGAACAGAAATGACCTGATGGAGCTGAAAAACACAGCATGAGAACTTTGTGCAGCATATACAAGTATCAACAGCTGAATTGATGAAGCAGAAGAAAGGATATCAGAGACTGAAGATCAACTTAATGAAATAAAGTGTGAAGAAAAGATCAGAGAAAAAAGAATGAAAAGTAACAAACAAAGCCTCTAAGAAATATGGGACTATGTGAAAAGACCAAACCTACGTTTGATTGGTGTAACTGAAAGTGACAGGGAGAATGGAGCCAAGTTGGAAAACACTCTTCAGGATATTATCCAGAACTTCCCCAACCTAGCAAGCCAGGTGAACATTCAAATTCAGGGAATACAGAGAACACCACAAAGATACTCCTTAAGAAGACCAACCCCAAGACACATAATCGTCAGATTCACCAAGGTTGAAATGAAGGAAAACATGTTAAGGGCAGACAGAGAGAAAGGTCAGGTTACTCACAAAGGGAAACCCATCAGACTAACAGCGGATCTCTCTGCAGAAACCCTACAAGCCAGAAGCGAGTGGGGGCCAATATTCAACATTCTTAAAGAAAAAAATTTCCAACCCAGAATTTCATATCCAGCCAAACTAAGCTTCATAAGTGAAGGAGAAATAAAATCCTTTACAGACAACCAAATGCTGAGAAATTTTGTCACCACCAGGCCTGCCTTAAAAGAGCTCCTGAAGGAAGCACTACATATGAAAAGGAAAAACCAGTACCAAATTGTAAAGACCATCAACACTATGAAGCAACTGCATCAACTAATGGGCAAAATAACCAGCTAGCATCATAATGACAGAATCAAATTCACACATAACAATATTAACCTTAAATATAAATGGGCTAAATACCCCAATTAAAAGATAAAGACTGGCAAATTTGATAAAGAGTCAAGACCCATTGGTGTGCTGTATTCAGGAGACTCATCTCACATGCAAAGACACAGATAGGCTCAAAATGAAGGGATGGAGGAATATTTACCAAGCAAATGGAAAGCAAAAAAAAAAAAAAAGGAGGGGTTGCAATCCTAGTCCCTGGTAAAATAGACTTTAAACCAACAAAGATCAAAAATGACAAAGAAGGGCATTATATAATGGTAAAGGAATCAATGCAACAAGAAGAGCTAACTATCCTAAATATATATGCACCCAATGCAGGAGCACCCAGATTCATAAAGCAAGTTCTTAGAGACCTAGAAAGAGACTTAGACTCCCACACAATAATAGTGGGAGACTTTAACACCCCATTGTCAATATCAGACAGATCAATGAGACAGAAAATTAACAAGGATATTCAGGAGTTGAACTCAGCTCTGGACCAAGTGGACCTAACAGACACCTACAGAACTCTTCACCCCAGATCAACAGAATATACATTCTTCTCAGCACCACATGGCACTTATTCTAAAATTGACCACATAATTGGAAGTAAAACACTCCTCAGCAAATGCAAAAGAACGGAAACCATAACAAACAGTCCCTTGGACCACAGTGCAATCAAATTAGAACTCAGGGTTAAGAAACTCACTCAAAATCACACAACTACATGAAGACTGAACAACCTGCTTCTGAATGACAGCTGGGTAAATAATGAAATTAGGGAGGAAATAAAGAAGTTCTTTGAAGCCAATGAAAACAAAGAGACAATGTACCAGAATCTCTGGGACACAGCTAAAGCAGTGTTAAGAGGGAAATTTATAGCACTAAATGCCCACATCAGAAAGTGGGAAAGATCTAAAATTGACACCCTAACATGACAATTAAAAGAACTAGAGAAGCAAGGCAAACAAATTCAAAAACTAGCAGAAGACAAGAAATAAGATCAGAACAGAACTGAAGGAGATAGAGACACAAAAAACCCTTCAAAAAATCAATGAATCTAAGAGCTGGTTTTTTGAAAAGATTAACAAAATAGATAGACCACTAGCCAGACTAATAAAGGAGAAAAGAGAGAAGAATCAAATAGACACAATAAAAAAAGATAAAGGGGATATCACCACTGATCCCACAGAAATACAAACTACTATCAGAGAATACTATAAAAACCTCTCTGCAAATAAACTAGAAAATCTAGAAGAAATGGATAAATTCCTGGACACATACACCCTCCCAAGACTAAACAAGGAAGAAGTCAAATTCCTGAATGGACCAATAACAAGTTCTGAAATTGAGGCAGTAATTAAAAGCCTACCAACCAAAACAAAACAAACAAACAAAAAAACAAAAAACAAACAAACAAAATAACAACCCAGGAACAGGTGGATTCACAGCCGAATGCTACTAGAGGTACAAAGAGGATCTGATACCATTCCTTCTGAAACTATTCCAAACAATAGAAAAAGAGGGACTTCTCCCTAACTCATTTTATGAGGCCAGTATCATCCTGATACCAAAACCTGGCAGAGACACAATGAAAAAAGAAAATTTCAGGCCAATATCCCTGATGAACATTGATGCAAAAATCTTCAATAAAATACTGACAAACTGAATCCAGCAGCACATCAAAAAGCTTATCTACCATGATCAAGTCGGCTTCATCCTTGGGTTGCAAGGCTGGTTCAACAAATGCAAATCAATATACGTAATCCCTCACATAAACAGAACCAATGACAAAAACCACATGGTTATCTCAATAGATGCAGAAAAGGCCTTTGATAAAATTCAACATCGCTTCATGCTAAAGACACTCAATAAACTAGGTATTGATGGACCACATCTCAAAATAATAAGAGCTATTTATGACAAACCCACAGCCAATATCATACTGAATGGGCAAAAACTGGAAGCATTCCCTTTGAAAACCAGCGCAAGACAAGGATGCCACCTCTCACCACTCCTATTCAACATAGCATTTGAAGTTCTGGCCAGGGCAATCAGGCAAGAGAAAGAAATAAAGGATATTCAAATAGGAACTGAGAAAGTCAAATTGTCTCTGTTTGCAGATGACATGATTGTATATTTAGAAAACCCCATCTTCTCAGCCCCAAAACTCCTTAAGCTGATAAGCAACTTCAACAAAGTCTCAGGATACAAAGTCAGTGTGCAAAAATCACAAGCATTCCTATACACCAATAATAGACAACCATAGAGCCAAATCATGAGTGAACTCCCATTCACTATTGCTACAAAGCAAATAAAATACTAGGAATACAACTTACAAGGAACGTGTAGAACCTCTTCAAGGAGAACTACAAACCACTACTCAAGGAAATAAGAGAGGACACAAACAAATGGAAAAACATTCCATGCTCATGGATAGGAAGAATCAATATAGTGAAAATGGCCATACTACCAAAAGTAATTTATAGATTCAATGTTATTCTCATCAAGCTACCATTGACTTTCTTTGAAGAATTAGAAAAAACTATAAATTTCATATGGAACTAAAAAAGAGCCCATAGAGCCAAGGCAATCCTAAGCAAAAAGAACAAAGCTGGAAGCATCACGCTACCTGACTTCAAACTATACTACAAGGCTACAGTAACCAAAACAGCATGGTACTGGTACCAAAACAGATATATAGAGCAGTGGAACAGAAGAGAGACCTCAGAAATAACACCACACATCTACTACCATCTGATCTTTGACAAACCTGACAAAAACAAGCAATGGGGAAAGGATTCCCTATGTAATAAATTGTGCTGGGAAAACTGGCTAGCCATATGCAGAAAATAGAAACTGGACACCTTCCTTACACCTTATATAAAAATTAACTCAAGATTGATTAAAGACTTAAACATAAAACCTAAAACCATAAAAACCCTAGAAGAAAACCTAGGGAATACCATTCAGGACATAGGCATGGGCAAAGACTTCATGACTAAAACACCAAAAGCAATTGTGACAAAAGCCAAAATTGACAAATGGGATCTAATTAAACTAAAGAGATTCTGCACAGCAAAAGAAACTATCATCAGAGTGAACAGGCAACCTACAGAGTGGGAGAAAATTTTTGCAATCTATTCATCTGACAAAGTCTAATATTCAGAATCTACAAGGAACTTAAATAAATTTACAAGAAAAAAACAACCCCACCAAAAACTGGGCAAAGGATATGAACAGACACTTCTCAAAAAAAGACATTTATGCAGCCAACAAACATGAAAAAAAGCTCATCATCACTGGTCATTAGAGAAATGCAAATCAAAACCACAATGAGATACCATCTCACACCAGTTAGAATGGCAATCATTAAGAAGTCAGGAAACAACGGATGCTGGCAAGGATGTGGAGAAATAGAAACTCTTTTACACTGTTGGTGAGAGTGTAAATTAGTTCAACCATTGTGGAATACAGTGTGGCAATTCCTCAAGGATCTAGAACCAGAAATACCATTTGACCCAGCAATCCCATTACTGGGTATATACCCAAAGGATTATAAATCATTCTACTATAAAGACACATGCACACATATGTTTATTGCAACATCATTTACAATAGCAAAGACTTGGAACCAACCCAAATGCCCATCAATGATGGAGTGGATAAAGAAAATGTGGTACATATACACCATGGAATACTATGCAGCCATAAGAAAGAATGAGTTCATGTCCTTTGCAGGGACATGGATGAAGCTGGAAACCATTATTTTCAGCAAACTAACCCAGGAACAGAAAACCAAGCACCACTGTGTTCTCACTCATAAGTGGGAGTTGAACAATGAGAACACATGGACACAGGGAGGGGAACATCACACACTGGGGCCTGTCGGGGGGTAGGGGGCAAGGGGAGGGATAGCATTAGGATAAATACCTAATGCATGTGGGGCTTAAAACCTAGATGATGGGTTGATGGGTGCAGCAAACCACCATGGCACATGTATAACTATGTAACAAACCTGCACATTCTACACATGTATCCCAGAACTTAAAATAAAATTTAAAAAAAAAAGAAATGGAATTTCTGGATTATACGGCAATTCTTTCATTTTTTGAGGAACTACCACACTGTTTTCCATAGCCACTGCACAATGGTTTTACATTCCCACCAGTAATGCACAAGGGTTCTAATTTCTCCATGTTCTTTTCAACACTTATTTTATGTGTTTTTACGTAATAGCCATCCTGGTGGAAGTGAAGTGGTATTTTATTGTGGTTTTGGTTTACATTTCCCTGGTGAGTAGTGATATTGAGAATCTTTTTGTGTGCTTATTGACCATTTGTATAATTTCTTTGGAGAAATGTCTATTCACATCTTTGGGAGGATCAACATTTTAACTCATGCTTACTCTTAAGCTCTGTAACTTTACCCACCAGCACCCTGTGTGTTAATTTTAATACAGACTTAGGTTGCCTTTTAGAAAATTTTGGTATAGTAGAGAAGTTTCTCTAGCTCTGCATCCTTGATTATTACCATCTTATTCTAGGCTAAGAACAAATGTAACAAGAAATTGTCTGTGCCCACACAAGGACTCAAGTGCAATGGAAACTTTATGGGGCTGATTGTTTTTCAGTTCAGGGAGTTCTTCCAGACCAGGCCCACCTACAGCCACTCTCAACTTCCTGGACTCATAGCTCCCCTGGGGTCCTCATATGCTTGACCTTGAAGCTTACCTCCCGCCTTTTGTTTGACCCATTAAGATTGATTAATCTGACTCCAAATATTTTCCTCATTTTCATTGAGGTAGAAACTCTATCAGATCCAGTTAGTGGGAAATATTCTTGGACTCTAAATATCATACTGCAGCCAGGAGTTGTTGAACTCCTGTGTCCAGCATGGGGCCCTGGAAGGCCACTTGCACAGATAAAGTGTGATTAAAATGGTTGGAGTGGTGGGTGGCGGATGGGACAGATTACTTAGACAGGGTTGCTGTAGACTTTTCTGTGGACTCTTACTCCATTTGGGGAGAAAGATTGAGCAGAAATGTCACATCTACTCAGACTAGTCAACTACCCAGCATTTGTGGCTCAATATTCTTTCTTTTGCCATATCTGTTCTTATTACAGCATTATGCTCAAATATTAAAGATATTTCCAAAGCATCTTAAATTTCTTTTAATAAATTACTTGATTTTCTAAGTGCTTTTGCAATGTTGTGTTATTTTTAGCAAATATGTCCTCTTGGGTTTTTTCATACATGTTGACAATATGCTTTGAAAAGAAAGATAAAAATTCCTTGCTTAATGAGCATTACATTTGTTTTTCCAGGATTGCCTCTTGCAAGAATTTTTACCCATATTTGCAATTTTCTTCAATAATAGGGAAACAGTACTTGAACTCTTCAGCTCATCTTAATGTGGGTACACGTTCTAAAAAAAAAAATATTGATGGTGCCCAGCATAAGCCATTGGATGTCTCCTTTCTCACGTTGTGAAAGCTTGTATGGCAGTCATTCAGCTTTTCTAGCTAATAGACCCAGCTGGGGTCCCTGCCTACAGAGCCAGCATCAACTCCCAGACATGAGAAAGAGCCAGCTTTCATGTGATTCCACTCCCAGCCTTTAGGCCACCCAGGTGATGACCTGAGGCAGAATTGAGGTGTTTCCATTGAACCTAGCCTTAACTGTAGATTTATGAGGTAAATAGTGATTGTTGTTGTTTTAAGCCACTAAGTTCTGGGTACTTTGCTACACAAAAATAAATAACCAATGAAGTCACACATATGACTTCTGCTCACTGTTCATTGCCTGTGACTAGTCACATTGCCCTGCCTAATTGCAGGAGTCTGAGAAGTACACATTTCTTAGTGCTTAGGGAGGAGAGGACAACCTGACATTGGTGAGCATTAGTAATGCGTGCAACAATGACTTTGTTTTCAATTATTTAGAACATTTTTTTCTGATTATTAGACAATATGTGGTCACAATGGAAAATTTGGAAAATATAAAATGGTATAAAGAACTAAGTGCAAATCACCCAGATGCCACTATCTAGAATTAATGATCGCTGCTTCCTGTCATTTTCCTCTGTTTACATTTAAAAAACAAAATTGGAATCATTCACTTTTAAATTTTGACTTTTTTACATTAAAAGCACTTATGTGTTCCTGATATTAAACATTTGTTTTGTGCTAAAATATGTATAATAGCCAGGTGCAGTGGTGCATGCCTGTAGTCTCAGCTATTCAGGAGGCTGAGGTGAGACAATCACTTGAGCCCAAGAGTTCAAGGCCAGCCTAGGCAACATAGTGAGACTCATTTGTTTCTTTCTTTCTCTTTTTTTTTTTTTTTTTTCAAGATGGGGGCTTAATCTGTCACCCAGGCTGGAGTGCAGTGGCACAATTATAGCTCATTGCAACCTTGGACTCCTGGGCTCAAGTGATCCTTCCTCTTCTGCCTCCACACACCACCACACCTGGCTAATTTTTAAAAATTTATAGTAGAGACGAAGTCTTGCTATGTTGCCCAGGCTGGCCATCTCTTTAAAAATAAATAAATAAATAAATAAATAAATAATTTTAAAATGTACAACATAAGATTCACCATTTTAAAGTGTACAATTCAAAGCCATCTAACACACTCATAATGTTATACAACCATCATCACTATCTACTTCCAAAACATTTTCATCACCCCTAAAGGAAATTCTGTGCCCATTAAACCTTATTCCCCAATTTTTCCCCTTTTCTGTAGCAACCACAAAACTTATTTATGTCTCTATGGATTTGCCTATGGGAGACATTTCATATGAATGAATCATATAATGTGTGGTCTTTTTGTGACTGGATTATTTCATTAGCATAATGTTTCAGGGATATCTATGTCGTAGCCTGTATCGTACTTCATTCCATTTTAAGGCTGAATAATATTTCATTGTATGGTTGTACCACATTTTGTTTATCCACTCATTATTTGATGGACATTTGGGTTGTTTCTACTTTTTGACTATTGTGGATACTGCTGCTGTGAACATTTATGTGTAAGTTTTTGTCTGAACATCTGTTTTCAATTCTTTTAGATATACGGCTAGGAGCAGAATTGCTGAATCATCTGGTAATTCTATGTTTAACTTATTGAAGAAATGCCAAATTGTTTTCTACAGTGAGTCCACCATTTTACATTTCCACTAGCAATGTGTGAGTGTTCCAATTTCTCCACATCCTTTCCAACACTTGTTATTGTCTACGTTTTTGAATATAGTTATCTTGGTAGAGATGACATGATAACTCTTTGTGGTTTTAATTTGCATTTTCGTAACCACTAATGGCATTGAATGTCTTTCCATGTGTTTGTTGGCCATTTGTATATCTTCTTTAGAGCAATGTCAATTCAAGTCTTTTGCCTTTTTTAAAATTGGGTGGTTTTGTTGTTGCTGTTGAGTTATATAAATCATTTACCTATTCTGGACATTAAACCCTTATCAGATATAGGATTTATAAATATTTTCTCCTATTCTATGGGCTGTCTTTTCACTCTCTTGACAGTGTGCTTTGATACACAAAAGCTTTTAATTTTATGAAGCCCAACTTACCTATTTTTTCTTTTGTTGCTTATCATTTGGTCTCACATCTAAGAAATCATTGCCAAATCTAAGGTCATGGAGATGTACAACTAAGTTTTCTTCTAAGAGTTTTATAGTTTTAACTGTTATATTTAGCTCTTTGATCCATTTGCAGTTGATTTTTGTACATGGCATGAGGTGAGTCCAACTCCATTCCTTTGCATGTGGCAATCCCGTTGTCCCTGCATCATTTGTTGAATAATGTTAAGTGCTTTTTGAAAACATGTTTTGGGTGACTGCATAAGTTACATACTGCATCACCATTTGCTTACTTATTCCTCCTTTGTTTTGTGGTGTTCTAGAAATGCAGATAATTTACTCCTTGACCACATCTTTCTTTAGAAAACATGTTCAGCTCACAGCTTCAAAAAAGAGAACCCCTAGAGACATCATAAATATTGATTTTGGACATGGTAGACACTTGGCCAAAGCTGGGCCCATCAGATCTTTACTCTGGGAATTTAGCACTGGGATACTGATACTATGTGATCTAGATGTGTGGGAAACAAGTTTAAAGGTAACATAAAGTCTGGGTTCCATAATTTTTTTTGACTTTATGAACCATCTGGTTTACAACATCTGGTTATCATAATAACTGAGATTATTATGATAATTTCTGTATTAAAAGGACAGAAGAACCAGCTATAAAGCAGAAAAAAAGGATGCAGACACATTTAAAATAGAAACTACAAAAAATGGAGAGATTTGCAGTTTGTTAAATTTCTAATTCTCGTGAATTCCATAAGAATCTCTGCTTCCTTTACTTTCCCTGGTTTTCTGGAATTAGTTTGGGTGAATGTCTTTTCCTTTGCAAACAAACTTTCCCTGACTTAGACAGACCTTATACTGGTTAGGAATCTTGATTGCAAGAGACAGAAAACCCAACTTAACTGGATTAAGCCAAAGGACTCATACTGGCTTAAATACCCGAAAGTCCAGGGTATAGCTTGATGTAGGGACTAAAAAATGTCATGTAGACATGGTTCTCTGCATCCCCCAGTTCTACCTTCTGTGGTGTTCACTTAATTCTCAACCTTAGAAACTCTCATCTTCAATCATTCTGGCTACGAACAGTCTAAAAAGAAAGAACACTTTCCTACAACTCCTGAGCAAGTCTTGGATTCACTCTGATTGTGACCACATTGCGTGAGTCATGGCCCATCCTTGAACTAACCCCAAGGGGTCTTTTGCCAAGTCTGAGTCATATGTTCACTCCTGGGTAGGGAAAAACCTCATTGGAACCACATTGACTGAAAATGAGGAGGGAGGTTTTCTTAAATTCTGGATTCTGTTACAAAATAGAAATGATGCTGAGTAGACAAAGAAACAATAGATGCCAACACAGGCATTTAGATACATTCTAATTTTTTATTATTGCCTGTAACACTTATGTGCAGCCTTGTCCATAAATATTTGTTCACATCTCTCATTATGTCTTTAGGATATTGTTTAGCTCTGTTGTTGCATTGCAAATCACCCCCAAACTTAGTGGCTTAAAACAAAGACAATGATTCATTTCTCACTATTCTGTGGGCTGGCTGGGCTCAGCTGGGAAGTTCTGCTCCTTGTGGTATAGTTGAGGTTGCTCATGGAGCTGCATTCAGCTGATGAGTGGCTGGGGCTGTCCCATCCAAGACAGTCTCTTCTCCTCCTGGGCCTCTCTCCGTGTGGCTTTTCATCATTCCGCAGTGTAGCCTGAGCTTATTTATAGCGTGGTGACCAGCTTCCAGGATGTAGAGAGTGGAAATTCCCAGACAGTCCTCTTAAGGCCTAGGCCTGGAAGTCCCAGTGCCTTACTTCTGCTTCACCTTGTCAGTCAAAGCAAGTCACGGGGCCTTCCCAGATTCAGAGGGAGAAGGATATAAATATACTCCCAGAAATAGAAATGCCAGATGAAAGAGTATGCATATTTTAAGGTTCATGGTACATGTTGTGAGATTTGTTCCCCAGACAGCTTCTACCAATGTCCAACACCCCCCCCACCAGCAGTGTATAAGATCATGTGTTTCACCACACAAATGCAAACACTTAGTAATTTCACAGGTTTAAAAATAACAATGTGATTGTTGTCTTATTAATATTTGAGGGGTTAAACTTTTTCATATGCTTCTTAGCCATTAAAATAATTTTAATTATTTAATAACATATGTCTATGTTATTAGATTATGATATAGCATACCAATGTGTGCCATCATCTAGTTTAATAAAAAGCATCTTACTGTGAAATGTTCTGTGGGTTCCTCCCTAATTCTATTCCATTCTCTCCCTCTCAAAGGTAACCATTATTATAAATTTTTGTTTGTACTCCCATGCCCTTATTTTATCTTTTATAACAGCTTTTTTTGCAATATCATTCACATATCATACAATGGACCCATTTAAAGTATATAATTAATGTTTTTTGTACATTAACAGAGTTGTACAACCATCACTACAATACATTTTAAAACATTTTCATTATCCCCTAAAGAAACCCTGTACTTCTTAGCAGTTATATTCATTCTCCCCTTTCCCCTAACTCCCACCCTAGGCAATCACTAATCAATTTTATTTCTATTTAGATTTCCTATTTGGGGTATTTCATAGAAATAAAATTATAGAATATGTGGTCTTTTGTGTCTGGCTCCTTCACTTAACATGTTTTCAAGGGTCATCTATGTTGCAGACTGTATCAATATGCCATTCCTTTTTATTACTGAGTAATATTCCATTGTGTGAATACATCACATTTTATTTGTTCATTTGTCTGTTGATGGACATTTAGGTTGTTTACATTTTTGACTATTATGAATAATGCTGTTATGAACATTCAAGTACAAGTTTGTGTAGTCTTACATTTTCAGTTCTTTTGGAGTATTTCAATACCTTGGAGTGGAATTGCTGGGTTATATGGTAACTCTGTATTTAAACTTTTGAGTAACTGTCTTTCAGAGTGTTTCACACTTTGCCAGACTGTTTTCCAAAGTGATGACAGCATTTTACATTTCCAGTAGAAGTATGAGGGTTCCAGTTTCTCCACATCCTTATCAACCCTTTGTATTATCTGTCTTTTTGATTATAGCCATCCTAGTGGGTATGAAATGGTGACTCACTGTGGTTTTCATTTACATTTCCCTAATGACTAATGATACTGAGCATCTTTTCCTGTGCTTAATTTCCCTTCTTTTGTGATAGTTTAATCATGTGTTTGTATTTTTAGATAATATGTTAATTAGTTTTACATGTTTTAATGTAATTTTTAAATTGATATATAATAGTTGTACATATTTTGGAGGTACATGTGATATTTTGATACCTGTATGCAATGCGTAGTGATCATGTTTTGAAATTTATATTAATGGAATTCTTTATGCAAGTATAATGTATGCAGTTGTACATCCTTCTGTAAGATACTTATTTAACTAAATTTAACACTTCTGGGGTTCTCCATATTGAGGCATGTGACTGTAGTTTATTTCACTTATGTGTATATTCCATTATGTGAATACAGCAAAATTTATTTAGTCATTCTTTTATTAATGAACTTTTAGGTTAGTTCCAATTTTTCATTATTATACATGAGGCTACTGTGAATATCTTTGCCTACAGACACACAGGTGCAATAATTTTTCTAGGGCATAAATTGAAGTGAAATTCCTGGGTCATAAGACATACAAAAGTTCACCTCTACTAGGTAAAGCTAAATAGTCTTCCAACATGGTTGTACAAATTCACACTCCCCCAGTAGTGTGTGAGCATTTCTGTTACTCCATCCTCTCTCCAACATTAGACATTGTCAGGCCTCTGAGCCCAAGCCAAGCCATCGCATCCCCTGTGACTTGCACATATACGCCCAGATGGCCTGAAGTAACTGAAGAATCACAAAAGAAGTGAATATGCCCTGCCCCACCTTAACTGATGACATTCCACCACAAAGGAAGCATAAATGGCTGGTCCTTGCCTTAACTGATGATATTCCACCACAAAAGAAGTGAAAATGGCTGGTCCTTGCCTTAAGTGATGACATTACCTTGTAAAAGTCCTTTTCCTGGCTCATCCTGGCTCAAAAGCTCCCCCACTGAGCACTTTGTGACCCCCACTCTGCCCACCAGAGAACAACCCCCTTTGACTGTAATTTTCCTTTATTTACCCAAATCCTATAAAACGGCCCCATCCTTATCTCCCTTCGCTGACTTTTTTCAGACTCAGCCTGCCTGCACCCAGGTGATTAAAAGCTTTATTGCTCACACAAAGCCTGTTTGGTGGTCTCTTTACACGGACGCGCATGAAATTTTGTGCCGTGACTCGGATTGGGGGACCTCCCTTGGGAGATCAATCCCCTGTCCTCCTGCTCTTTGCTCTGTGAGAAAGATCCACCTACGACCTCAGGTCCTCAGACGACCAGCCCAAGAAACATCTCACCAATTTCATATCCGGTAAGCGGCCTCTTTTTACTCTCTTCTCCAGCCTCCCTCACTATCCCTCAACCTCTTTCTCCTTTCAATCTTGGCACCACACTTCAATCTCTCCCTTCTCTTAATTTCAATTCCTTTCATTTTCTGGTAGAGACAAAGGAGACATGTTTTATCCGTGGACCCAAAACTCCAGCACCGGTCATGGACTAGGGAGGGCAGCCTTCCCTTGGTGTTCAATCATTGCAGGGACACCTCTCTGATTATTCACCCAGGTTTCAGAGGTGTCAGACCATGTGGGGATGCCTGCCTTGGTCCTTCACCCTTAGTGGCAAGTCCTGCTTTTCTGGGGAAGAGGCAAGTACCCCAATCCCTTCTCTCCGTGTCTCTACCCCTTCTCCGCCTTTCTGGGGGGCAAGAAACCCCCAACCCCTTCTCCATCACCCTTAGTGGCAAGTCCCGCTTTTCTGGGGGAGGGTCAAGTACCCCAACCTCGTATCTCTGCACCCCAATCCCTTATTTCCACACCCCACCCTCTTATCTCTGTGCCCCAATCCCTTATTTCCGCCCCCGAACTCTTATATCTCTGCACCCTGATCCCTTATTTCCGCACCCCAACCTCTTATATCTCTGCACCCTGATCCCTTATTTCCATGCCCTGACCTCATATCTCTGCACCCCGACCCCTTCTCTGCTTTTCTGGAGGGCAACAACCCTCCACCCCTTCTCCGTGTCTCTACTCTTTTCTCTGGGCTTGCCTCCTTCACTATGGGCAAGCTTCCACCTTCCATTCCTCCTTCTTCTCCCTTAGCCTGTGTTCTTAAGAACTTAAAACCTCTTCAACTCTCACCTGACCTAAAATCTAAGCATCTTATTTTCTTCTGCAATGCTGCTTGACCTCAATACAAACTCGACAGTAGTTCCAAATAGCCGGAAAATGGCACTTTCAATTTTTCCATCCTACACGATCTAAATAATTCTTGTCATAAAATGGGCAAATGGTCTGAGGTGCCTGACTTCCAGGCATTCTTTTACACATGAGTCCCTCTCTAGTCTCTGTTCCCAGTGCAACTCATCCCAAATCTTCCTTCTTTCCCTCCCACCTGTCCCCTCAGTCCCAACCCCAAGTGTTGCTGAGTCTTTCTAATCTTCCCTTTCTACAGACCCATCTGACCTCTCCCCTCCTCCCCAGGCTGCTTCTCGCCAGGCTGAGCTAGGTCCCAATTCTTCCTCAGCCTCTGCTCCTCCACCCTATAATCCTTTCATCACCTCCCCTCGTCACACCTGGTCCAGCTTACAGTTTCATTCCGTGGCTAGCCCTCCCCCACCTGCCCAGCAATTTACTCTTAAAAAGGTGGCTGGAGCTAAAGGCATAGTCAAGGTTAATGCTCCTTTTTCTTTATCCCAGATCAGATAGCGTTTAGGCTCTTCTTCATCAAATATAAAAATCCAGCCCAGTTCATGACTCGTTTGGCAGCAACCCTGAAACGCTTTACAGCCCTAGACCCTAAAAGGTCAAAAGGCTGTCTTATTCTCAATATACATTTTATTACCCAATCTGCTCCCAACATTAAATATAACACCAAAAATTAAATTCTGGCCCTCAAACCCCACAACAGGATTTAATTAACCTCACCTTCAAGGTGTACAATAATAGAAAAAAGTTGCAATTCCTTGCCTCCACTGTGAGACAAACCCCAGCCATATCTCCAGCACACAAGAACTTCCAAATGCCTGAACCGCAGTGGCCAGGCGTTCCTCCAGAACCTTCTCCCCCAGGAGCTTGCTACAAGTGCCAGAAATCTGGCCCCCAGGCCAAGGAATGCCTGCAGCCCAGGATTCCTCCTAAGCCGCATCCCATCTGTGCGGGATCCCACTGGAAATCGGACTGTCCAACTCACCTGGCAGCCACTCCCAGAGCCCCTGGAACTCTGGCCTAAGGCTCTCTGACTCCTTCCCAGATCTTCTTGGCTTAGCGGCTGAAGACTGACACTGCCCGATCGCCTTGGAATCGCCCTAGACCATCACAGACGCCGAGCTTCGGGTAACTCTCACAGTGGAAGGTAAGCCCGTCCCCTTCTTAATCAATACGGAGGTTACCCACTCCACATTACCTTATTTTCAAGGGCCTGTTTCCTTTGCCTCCATAACTGTTATGGGTATTGACAGCCAGGCTTCTAAACCTCTTAGAACTCCCCAACTCTGGTACAATTTAGACAATACTCTTTTAAGCACTCCTTTTAGTTATCCCCACCTGCCCAGTTCCCTTATTAGGCCGAGACACTTTAACTAAATTATCTGCTTCCCTGACTATTCCTGGATTACAGCTACATCTCATTGCTGCCCTTCTTCCCAATCCAAAGCCTCCTTTGCATCCTCCTCTTGTATTCCCCCACTTTAACCCACAAGTATAAGATACCTCTACTCCCTCCTTGGCAACCGATCATGCACCCCTTACCATCTCATTAAAACCTAATCACCCTTACCCTGATCAATGCCAATATCCCATCCCACAGCATGCTTTGAAAGGATTAAAGCCTGTTATCACTTGCCTGCTACAGCATGGCCTTTTAAAGCCTATAAACTCTCCTTACAATTCCCCCATTTTACCTGTCCTAAAACCAGACAAGCCTTACAAGTTAGTTCAGGATCTATGCCTTATCAACCAAATTCTTTTGCCTATCCACCACATGGTGCCAAACCCATATACTATCCTATCCTCAATACCTCCCTCCACAATCCATTATTCTGTTCTGGATCTCAAACATGCTTTCTTCACTATTCCTTTGCATCTGTCATCCCAGCCTCTCTTTGCTTTCACTAGACTGACCCTGACACCCATCAGGCTCAGCAAATTACCTGGGCTGTACTGCCACAAAGCTTCACAGACAGCCCCCCATTACTTCAGTCAAGCCCAAATTTCTTCCTTATCTGTTACCTATCTCAGCATAATTCTCATAAAAACACAAGTGTTTTCCCTGCTGATCGTGTCCGATTAATCTCTCAAACCTCAATCCCTTACAAAACAACAACTCCTTTCCTTCCTAGGCATGGTTAGTGTGGTCAGAATTCTTACACAAGAGCCAGGACGGCACCCTGTAGCCTTTCTTTGCAAAAAACTTGACCTTACTGTTTTAGCCTAGCCCTCATGTCTGTGTGCAGCGGCTGCCGCTGCTTTAATACTTTTAGAGGCCCTGAAAATCACAAACTACGCTCAACTCACTCTCTACATTTCTCATAACTTCCAAAATCTATTTTCTTCCTCATATCTGACGCATATACTTTCTGCTCCCCGGCTCCTTCAGCTGTACTCACTCTTTGTTAAGTCCCACAATTACCATTGTTCCCAGCCTGGACTTCAATCCGGCCTCCCACATTATTCCTGATACCACACCTGACCCCCATGACTGTATCTTTCTGATCCACCTGGCATTCACCCCATTTCCCCATATTTCCTTCTTTCCTGTTCCTCACCCTGATCACACTTGATTTATTGATGGCGGTTCCACCAGGCCTAATTGCTATACACCAGCAAAGGCAGGCTATGCTATAGTACAAGCCACTAGCCCGCCCCTTAGAACCTCTCATTTCCTTTCCATCGTGGAAATCTATCCTCAAGGAAATAACTTCTCAGTGTTCCATCTGCTATTCTACTACTCCTCAGGGATTATTCAGGCCCCCTCCCTTCCCTACACATCAAGCTCAAGGATTTGCCCCTACCCAGGACTGGCAAATTAGCTTTACTCAACATGCCCCGAGTCAGATAAGTAAAATAACTCTTAGTTTAGGTAGACACTTTCACTGGATAGGTACAGGCCTTTCCTACAGGGTCTGAGAAGGCCACCGCAGTCATTTGTTCCCTTCCATCAGACATAATTCCTCAGTTTAGCCTTCCCACCTCTATACAGTCTGATAACAGACGAGCCTTTATTAGTCGAATCAGCCAAGCAGTTTCTCAGGCTCTTAGTATTCAGTGAAACCTTTATATCCCTTATGGTCCTCCGTCTTCAGGAAAAGTAGAACGGACTAAAGGTCTTTTAAAAACACACCTCACCAAGCTCAGCCACCAACTTAAAAAGGACTGGACAATACTTTTACCACTTTCCCTTCTCAGAAGTCAGACCTGTCCTCAGAATGCTACAAGGTATAGCCCATTTGAGCTCCTCTATAGACGCTCCTTTTTATTAGGCCCCAGTCTCATTCCAGACACCAGACCAACTTAGACTGTGCCCCAAAAAAACTTGTCATCCCTACTATCTTCTGTCTAGTCATACTGCTATTCACCATTCTCAACTACTCATACATGCCCTGCTCTTGTTTACACTGCCGGTTTCCACTGTTTCTCCAAGCCATCACAGCTGATATCTCTTGGTGCTATCCCCAAACTGCCACTCTTAACTCTTGAAGTAAATAAATAATCTTTGCTGGCAGGACTATGCTGAATCTCCTTAAGCACTCTCTAATCAGGTATCTTGGGTCGTCCCAATTCTTAGACCTTTTATACCTGTTTTTCTCCTTCTGTTATTCCATTTAGTTTTTCAATTCATACAAAACCGTATCCAGGTCATCACCAATAATTCTACATGACAAATGTTTCTTCTAACAACCCCACAATATCACCCCTTACCACAAAATCTCCCTTCAGCTTAATCTCTCCCACTCTAGGTTCCCACGCCGCCCCTAATCCCGCTTGAAGCAGCCCTGAGAAACTTCGCCCATTCTCTCTCTCCATACCACCCCCCAAAAAATTTTCACCACCCCAACACTTCAAAACTATTTTGTTTTATTTTTCTTATTAATATAAGAAGGCAGGAATGTCAGGCCTCTGAGCCCAAGCCAAGCCATCGCAACCCCTGTGACTTGCACGTATACGCCCAGATGGCCTGAAGTAACTGAAGAATCACAAAAGAAGTGAATATGCCCTGCCCCACCTTAACTGATGACATTCCACCACAAAAGAAGTGAAAATGGCCGGTCCTTACCTTAAGTGATGACATTACCTTGTGAAAGTCCTTTCCCTGGCTCATCCTGGCTCAAAAGCTCCCCCACTGAGCACCTTGTGACCCCCACTCTGCCCGCCAGAGAACAATCCCCTTTGACTGTAATTTTCCTTTATTTACCCAAATCCTATAAAACAGCCCCACCCTTATCTCCCTTCCCTGACTCTCTTTTCGGACTCAGCCTGCCTGCACCCAGGTGATTAAAAACTTTATTGCTCACACAAAGCCTGTTTGGTGGTCTCTTTACACGGACGCACATGAAAGACATTATCACATTTCTTAAATTAGTCTAACTTGTGTGAATAAAATTGTATCTCAATCTGGTTTTAATGTACATGTACCCGATTACTAATGAGATTGAGCATCTTTTCACATTTCTGTGGACCATTCGTATTTTTTCTTTTCTGAAGTGCCTAAGTGTTTCGCCCATTCTTCTGTTGTGTTGTCTTTTAAAAATTGATTTGTAGTTCATTTTATAGTGTGAATACTGACACTTTGTCAATCGTATATGTTACAAGATTTCCAAACACTGTCCTCTCCTTTTATTCTCTTTATTATATATTTTGGTGAGCAAAAGTTCTTAATTTTAATGGAACTAAGTCTGTAATCATGTTATGTGATTTTGTGTTTTTTTTCTTAAATAAATTTTTTCTTACTTCAAGTTCATAAAGCTATACTCTCAAATTATCTTCTAAGTGCTTTATATCTCTGCTTTTCATATTTAAAGATGTGCTTGAACTGAAATTGATTTTAATGTATGGTGTAACCTAAAGTAACCTAAGGATGAAATTGAATTGTTTGTAACTCAAAGGATAAATTCTTGAGGGGGTGGATACTCCATTTTCCATGATGTGCTTATTTGACATTGCAAGCCTGCATCAAAGCATTTCATGTACCCCATAAATATACATACTTACTATGTACCTACAAAATTTTTAAAAGTAATAAAATAAAAGCCTATTACAATTTTTGTTAAAATTAATTTGACTCTACAGATTAGGGAAGAATTGACATCTCTATAAAATTGAATTTTCTGACAAATCAACATAGCATATTAAGTACTCCTTTATTTTTGTCTTTTTGAATATATTTCACAGATGTATCATTCTCCCCATTCAGCTTTGCACATCTTTAGTAGATTATCTCTTTTTTTTTGTCTCATAGACGGAGTCTCACTATGTTGCCCAGGCTGGCCTTGAACTCCTGGGCTCAAGCGATTGATCCACCTCTGCCTCCTGAGTAGCTGAAACTACAGGTACATACCACTGTGTCCAACTAACACCTCATGTGTTTTATGCTATTATAAGTTATGTTTCTTTAAAATTATACATTCTGATTGTACTAATGTTTTAGTTTTATATATTGCATTTTTGTCAAAATTGTTCAGCTCTTTAATTGGCTTGTATTTTTGTGTAGATTCTCTGCGAAAGACTACGTAGACATCATATCAACTGTGAATAATGACTATTTTGTTTTATCATATCCCATCTATACTCTTCAACTTCCTTCTATTGTATTGGTTAAAACCTCCAGTACAAGATTAAATACAAAAGTTGATGGTAAGTGCCCTGTATTTTTTTTTCTCTCCTGAATTTAAAGGGAATTTTTTCAACATTTCACCATTTAAATATAACATAACATTTGCAGTAGGTTTTTAGTATATGCCATTTATCAGAAAAGGAAATGTCTTTGTATTACTAGTTTGATAAGAATGTTTATCAGGAATTCATGTTGAATTTTATACAACATGTTTTTCTGTATTTTTTTAAGATGATTGTATTATATTTATTCTTTAAATTAAGATTGTAGGCAGAGCTTGCAGTGAGCTGAGATAGTGCCACTGCAGTCCCGCCTGGGCGAAAGAGCGAGACTCCGTCTAAAAATATATATATATATATATATATATATATATATATATATATATATATATATATATATATATATATATGGTAGTTAATTGTAATACTTGGTTTCTATTGTTAAGCCAACCTCTCATTCCTGAAATGAAATTAATTTGGCCATATGTTATCATCTTTTCCTACTATGTTTTTAAATTTAGTTTGCTTATATTTTGTTTAGGATTTTTGTATCTGTATTTATGATTTAAATTGGGTTTTAATTTTTGTTTCTCACATTATCTTTGTCAGTTTTTACTGTGCAATTATGCTGGCCTCATCAAATGAGTTGGGAAATGCTCTCTCTTTTTCATACTTCAGGATACCTTGCATAGTTTTAAAATGTTTGTTCTTTAATGTTTGCTATAAATCACTAAAAAAATCCACATAGGCCTGATGTGTTTCGTGGGAAGATTTTTTGGGGTAAATTTTTAGAGACAGAGTCTTGCTATGTTGCCCAGGCTGGAATGCAGTGGCTATGTACAGACACAGTCATAGCACAATACAGCCTCAAACTCCTGGTCTCAAGGGAATCTCCTGCCTCAGCCTCCCAAGTAACTGAGGCTGTGGGAGTATACCATCACACCCAGCCTATGGGAAGATTTAAAAGTTTCTATTCAATTTACTTCATACTTTTAAGACTATTGAAGTTCTCTGGGTTTTTTCTTTTGAGTCAGTTTTGTTGGTTTATATTTTTCTAGGAATTTGTACATTTCATTTAAGTTTTCAAGTGTATTGATACTCTTTTTAATATTCTCTAATTTTCTTTTGGTATCAGAAGTATCTGAAGTTACATCTTCATTTTTATTCCTTAGATTTATTTTATGTCTTCTCTTTTTTCTTTCTTGATCAATCTAGCCAGTTTTGTTTTTGTTGATTATTTTGATTATATTTTCATTTTATATTGACGTGAGTGATATAAGTACTGCGACAATCAAGACACAGAATATTTTTATTACTGTAAAATGGCCTTATGTTGTCCTTTGTAGTCAAACTCTACCCCATCTCTAACTCCTGATATTACTACTGAGCTATTTTCTCTCCCTATAGTTTTGTCTGTTTCAAAATGCTATTTACTGTTTATTATTTACTTATTTTTAATTTTTTTCTGAGTACATAATAGGTATATTTATGGGGTATATGAGATATTTTGATACAGACTTGGAGTGCCTAATAATCACACCATGGAAAATAGGGCATCCATCCCCTCAAGCATTATCCATTGTGTTACAAACAATCCAATTGTACTCTTTTAGTTATTTTTAAATGTACAGTTAAATTTTTATTGACTAGAGTCACCCCGATGGGCTATCAAATACTAGGCCTTATTCATTCATTTGAACTATTTTTTCTTACCCATTAATCATCCCCCAACTCCTCCCCACCCTCGTATAACTATCACATTTTCTTTATCCATTAATCTGTTGATGGACCCTTAGGATGCTTCTAAATCTTGGCCATTGTGAACAGTGCTGCAACAAATATGGGAACTCGGGTATCTCTTTGATCTGCTGATTTTCTTTCTTTTGAGTATGTACTCAGTGGAATGCTGGATCATATGGTAGCTCTATTTTTAGTTTTGTGAGGAACCTCCAAATAGTTCTCCATAGTGGTTGTACTAATTTACATTCCCACAAAAGGTGTACAATGGTTCCCTTTTATCCACATCCTTGCCAGCATTTGCTATTGCCTGTCTTTTGAATATAAGCCATTTAATCTGGGATGAGATGATATCTCATTGTAGTTTTGATTTGTACTTCTCTGATGATCAATGATGGTGAGCACTTTTTATATGTCTGTTGCCATCTGTATGCCTTCTTGTGAGAAATGTATATTTAAATCTTTTGCCTATTTTTAATTGGATTACTAGATTTTTTCCTATAGAGTTACTTGAACTCCTTATATGTTCTGGTTATTTATCCCTTGTCAGTTGGTGTATTAGTCCGTTCTTGCACTGCTATAAAGAAATACCTGAGACTGGGTTATTTATAAAGAAAAGAGGTTTAACTGGCTCATGCTTCTGCAGGCTGCCCAGGAAGCATGGCTGGGGAGGCCTCAGGAAACTTACAATCATGGCAGAAGGTGAAGGGGAAGCAGACACATCTTCACATGGTCACAGCTGAAGGAAGAGAGAGCGGGGAGGTGCTACAGACTTTTAAGCAATCTGATCTTGTGAGAATTCCATCATGAGAACAGCAGCAAAGTGGGATATCTGCCCCCGTGATCCAGTAACCTCCCACTAGGCCCCACCTCCAACATTGGGGATTACAATTCAACACGAGATTTGGGTGGGGACATAAATCCAAACCACATCAGATGGGTAGTTTGCAAATGTTTTCTCCCATTGTGTGGGTTGTCTCTTCAGTTTGTTGATTGTATCCTTTGCTGCACAGGAGCTTTTTTTTTAACTTGATGTGATCCCATTTGTCCATTTTTGCTTTGGTTGCCTGTACCTGTGGGGTGTTGCTCAAGAAATCTTTGTGCAGACTGATGTCCTGGAGAGTTTATCTAACACTTTCTTGTAGTAGTTTCATTGTTTGAGGTCTTAGATTTAATTCCTTAATCCATTTTGATTTGATGTTTCTATATGATGAGAGATAGGGGTCTAGTTTCGTTCTTCTGCCTATGGGTATCCAGTTTTCTTAGCACTATTTATTGAAGAGACTGTCTTTTTCCCAATTGCATGTACATGGTACCCGATATGGTTTGGATCTGTGTTCCTGCCCAAATCTCATGTCAAATTGAAATCCCCAGTGTTAGAGGTGGGACCTAGTGTAGCAGGAGGTGATTGGATCATGGGGGCCAAGTTCTCATGAATGATTTAGCACCATCTCCCTTGGTACTGTATACTGAGTGAGTTTTCACAAGATCTTGTTGTTTAAAAGCATATGGCACTTTCCCTCTCTCTCTCAGTCCTGCTCCTGCCATGTACAATGCTTGCTCCCACTTTGCCCTCCACTACGAGTAGAAGTTCCCTCAGGCCTCCCCAGAAGCAGTGGCTGCCATGCTTCCTGTACAGCCTGAAGAATTGTAAGCCAATTAAATCTCTTTTCTTTATAAGATACCCAGTCTCAGGTATTTCCTTATAGCAGTGCAAGTGAACTTCATCGAAAATGAGTTCACTGTAGGTGTGTGGATTTGTTTCTGGGTTCTCTATTCTGCTCCATTGGTCTGTGTGTTTGTTTTTATTCCACTACCATGCTGTTTGGCTATTAGAGATCTGTAGTGCAATTTGAAGTCAGGTAATATGATTTTTCCAGTTTTGTTCTTTTTGCTTAGGATAGCTTTGACTATTCTGGGTCTTTTGTTGTTCCGTATAAATTTTAGGATAGTTTTTTTCTATTTCTGTGAAGAATAACATTGGTATTTTAATAGGAATTGCATTGAATCTATAGATTGTTTTGGGTAGTATAGACATTTTAACAATATTGATTCTTCCAATCCATGAACATGAAATATCTTTTCATGTTCTTTGGTGTTCTCTTCAATTTCTTTCATTGGTGTTTGATAGTTTTCATTATAGAGATCTTTCACTTCTTTGGATAATTTCTAGGTATTTAATTTTATTTGTGGCTATTGTAAATGGGATTACTTTTTAAATATCTTTTTCAGATTATTCACTGTGGGTATATAGAAATGCTACCGATTTTTTAATGTGGATTTTGTATCCTGCAACTTTACTGAATTTATCAGTTCTGATAATTTTTTGGTGGAGTCTTTAGGTTTTTCCAAATATAAGATTATATCATTTTCAAACAAGAGTAATTTGACTTCTTCCTTTTCAATTTGGATGCCTTTTATATCTTTCTCTTGCTTGATTGCTGTAGATAGGACTTCCAGTACTATGTTGAATAACAGTGGTGAAAGTGGGCATCCTTATCTTTGTTGTGTTCCAGATTTCAGAGGAAAGGCTTCCAGTATTTCCCCATTCAGTATGATACTAGCTGTGGGTCTGTTAAATATGGCTTTTAATCTGTTGAGGCATGTTCCTTCTATACAAACTTTTTGAAGGCTTTTATCATGAAGGGATGTTGAACTTTATCAAATGCTTTTTCAGGATCAGTTGAAATGATCATATGGTTTTTGTCCTTCGTTCTGTTGATATGCTATATCACATTGATTGATTTGCATATGTTACATCCGAGGGATATATCCCACTTGGTCATGATGAATGATCTTTTTAAGTGTTGTTAAATTCAGTTTGCTAGTATTTTGTTGAGGATTTTTGCATTAATGTTCATCAGGGATATTGGCCTGTAGTTTGGATTTTTGGTGTGTCTTTTTCTAGTTTCGGTGTCAGAGTAATACTGGCCTTATAGAATGAGTTTGGAAGTATTCTTTCCTCTTCTATTTTTCAGAATAGTTTGAGTAGGATTGGTATTAGTTCTTCTTTAGATGGTTGGCAGAATTCAGCAGTGAAGCCATTGGGTCCTGAGCTTTTCTTTACTGGGAGACTTTTTATTATGGCTTCAATCTCATTACTTGTTCTTGGTCTGGTCAGAGTTTAGATTTATTCATGTTTCATTCTTGGTAGGCTGTATGTGTCTAGGAATTTGTCAATTTCTTCTAGATTTTCCAATTTATTGGCATATAGTTGCACATAGCAGCCTCTAATGACCCTTGGAATTTCTGTGGTGTCAGTTGTAAAGTCTCCCCTTTCATCTCAGATTTTACTTACTTGGATCTTCTCTGTTTTTTTCTTAGTCTGACTAAAGGTTAAACAACTTTTTGTGTCATTGATCTTTTGTAATTTTTTTTTTTTGAGACGGAGTCTCACTCTGTTGCCCAGGTTGGAGTGCAGTGGCGTGATCTTGGCTCACTGCAAGCTACGCCTCCCAGGTTCACGCCATTCTTCTGCCTCAGCCTCCCGAGTAGCTAGGACTATAGGCGCCTGCCACTACGCCTGGCTAATTTTTTTTTGTATTTTTAGTAGAGACAGAGTTTCACTGTGTTAGCCAGGATGGTCTCGATCTCCTGACCTCATGATCTGCCCACCTCGGCCTCCCAAAGTGCTGGGATTACAGGCGTGAGCCACTGTGCCCAGCCATCTTTTGTAATTTTTAAAATTTCAATTTTATTTATATCTGCTCTGATCTTTATTATTTTTTTTTCTACTAATTTTGGTTTGGTTTGCTCTTGCTTTTCTTGTGCTTTAAGATGCATTGTTAGATTATTTATTTGAAGTTTTTCTTCTTTTTTGATGTAGGCATTTATAGCTATAATCTTCCCTCTTAGTGCTGCTGCTCTTGCTGTGTCCCATAGCTTTTGGCATGTTGTGTTTCCATTTTCACTTGTTTCTAGAAATTTTTCAATATCTATCTTAATTTCTTCATTGAACCACTGGTCTTTCAGAGCATATTGCTTAATTCCCATGTATTTTTATAGTTTCCAAAATTCCTCTGTTATTGATTTCCAGTTTTATTCCATTGTTGTAGACAAGATGCTTGATAATATTTCAATTTTTGGAATGTTTTAAGACATGTTTAGTGGCCAGACATATGGTCTGTCCTTGAGAATGATCTGTGTGCTGAGGCAAAGAATGTGTATACTGCATCCATTGGATGAAATGCTCTGTAAATAGCTATTAGATCTATCTGGTCTATAGTGCAGATTAAGTTTGATGTTTCTTTGTTGATTTTCTTTCTAGAAGATCTGCCCAATGCTGAACGTGGGATGTTGAAGTCAAGCTATTATTTTATTGGGACCTATTCCTCTCTTTAGCGCTGATAATATATGTTTTATATATCTGGGTGCTCCACTGTTAGGTGCATATATATTTACAATGGTTCTATCCTCTTGCTGAATTGACCCTTTTATCATCATATAATGATCTTCTTTGTCTCTTCTTATAGTCTTTGTCTTGAAATCTATTTTGTCTGATATATGTGTAGTGACTCCTGCTCTTTTTTGGTTTCCATTGGCATGGAATATATTTTTTCATCCATTTATTTTCAGTCTATGTGTGTTCTTATAGGTGAAGAGTGTTTCTTGTAGGAAACAGATCTTTGAGTCTTCTTTTTTAAATCCATTCAGACACTGTATGTCTTTTGGTTGGAGTGTTTAGTCCATTGACATTCAACGTTGTTATTGATAAGTAAGGACTTACTCATGCCACTTTGTTATTGGTTTTGTGGTTTTCTCTTCCTTCCTTCTTTTCTTTCTGTCTTCATTTTAGTGAAGGTGATTTTCCCTGGTGATATGATTTAGTTTCTTGCTTTTAATTTTTTGTATATTTATTGTATTTTATTTTTGGTTTGAGGTTACCATGAGGCTTGCAAATACTATCTTATAACCTATTATTTTAAGGTGATAACAACTTAACACTGTTTGCATAAACAAACAAGCAAGCAAGCAAAAAGAAAACTAATAAAGACTCGATGGCTTAAATTAATACTATGGCCTTTTAAGTTTTTGTTGCTACTATTTATATCTTATCCCTCAGCTTTTGTTTGTCTGGGAAAGTATTTATCCTTCATGTTTGGAGGTTAATTTTGCCAGATATACTATTCTAGAGTAAAATATATTTTTTTTGTCCTTCAGTACTTTAAATATGTCATGACACTCTCTTCTGGCCTGCAAGGTTTCCACCATAAAGTCTGCTGCTGGATGTATTGGAGCTCCATTGTATGTTATTTGTTTCTTTTCTCTTGCTGCTTTTAGGATCCTCTCTTTACCCTTAATCTTTGGAAGTCTGATTTTAAAATGCCTTGAGGTAGTCTTTGGGTTATATCTGCTTAGTGTTCAGTAACCTTCTTGTCTTTGGATACTGATATTTAACTCTAGGTTTCAGAAGTTCTCTGTTATTATTCATTTGAATAAACTTTCTACCCCTCCCCTATCTCTTTATCTTCTCTTTAAGGCCAATAATTCCTAGATTTGCCCTTTGAGGCTATTTTCTAGATCCTGTAGGCATGCTTTATTGTTTTTCATTCTTTTTTTGTCTCCTCTGACTGTGTATTTTCAAATAGTTTGTCTTCAGGCTCACTAATTCCTTCTGCTTGATCAATTCTTCTTTTAAAAGACTCTGATGCATTCTTCAGTACATCAATTGCATTTTTTCAGCTCCAGAATTTCTGATTGATTTTTAAAAATTATTTCAATTTCTTTGTTAAATTTATCTGATAGGATTATGAATTCCTTTGTTGTATTATCTTGAATTTCTTTTAGTGTCCTTAAAACAACTATTTTGAATTATCTGTCTGAAAGATTGCATATCTCTGCCTCTCCAGGATTGGTCCCTGGTGCCTTACTTAGTTTCTTTGGTGAGGTCATGTTTTCCTGGATAGTCTTGATGCTTATAGATGTTTGTCTGTGTCTGGGTATTGAAAAGTTAGGTATTATTTAGGTCTTTGCAGTTGGATTTATTTGTACCCATCTTCCTTGGAAAGCTTTCCAGATATTTGAAAGGACTTGGGTGTTGTGATCTAAGCTGTATCTGCCTTAGGAAGAACCTCAAGACCAGTAACACTGTGGTTTCTTGCAGATTAGCAGAGGTACTGCCTTTATGGTCTTGGGCAAGATCCTGAAGAATTCCCTGGATTACTAGACAGAGACTCTTGTTCTCTTCACTTACTTTCTACCAAACAAATCAATTCTCTCCCTCTGTTACAAGCCTCCTGGAGCTGGGAGTGGAGTGACAAAAACACGTCTATAGCTACCACCCTTAGGACTGCACTGGGTTTCTCCCAAAACCTGTTGCAACCACTCCCTGACTACTGCCTATGTTTGCTCAATGCCCTGAGGCTCTACAATCATCAAGTGGCAAAGCCAGCCAGGCTTATATCCTTCCCCAGGGCCTGGGCAAGTCCAGAGGTGCCAACTGGGGGCCAGGGACTAGAGTCAAAAACCTTAGATGTGTACCTGATGCTCCATTGTACTGCAGCTGAGCTGACTTTTAAACCATAAGACACAGTCCTTCCCACTCTTCCCTCTTCTTTTCAATGGCAGAGAAGCCTCACTTTGTGGCCACCACCACCTCAGGCCCATGAGGAGTACTACCAGACTATTGCTCATGTTCCCTTAGGGCTAAGGACTCTTCAGTCAGCTTATGGTGAATACTGCCTGATCTGAGACTCACCCTTCAGAGGAATGGGCTCCTGTATGGCCCAGGGCAGGTCCGGAAATGCTGTACCAGAGCCAAATCTTAGAATTGTGGACCCCAAGAGCCCTCTTTTTGCTCTACCCACCTCTGGCCAAGGTGCTACCTAAGGTGCAAGACAAAGTCCCTTAACTTTTTTCTCCACTTTTCTCAAGCAGAAAGGGTCTCACCCCACAGCCACCACAGCTGGAAATTTGCTGTGTCTCATCTGAAGCTAGCAAGTCTGAGTCTCATTCAAAGCCCTTGACACAGTACTTGGGTATTGCTGCTGGGTATTCAGGGGCCAAGGGCTCTTCAGTTAGCAGGTGATGAATTTTGCCATGACTGGGTCCTTCCATTCAAGGCAGTGGATAGCCTCGTGGCCCAGAGTGTGTCTAGAAATGTTGTCTGGGAGCTGGGGCCTGGAAAGAGGATTTCATGACTCTGACTGGTACCTTATCCTGATGTGGCTCAGCTGGTATCCAAGATGCAAGACAAAGTCCTCCCCACTCTTCCATCTCTCTTCCTCAAGTGGAAGGAAGAGGTCTCTTTTGAAGCCATGAGCTGTGCAGCCTGGCATTAGGGGAGGGTTGATGCCAGCACTCCCTTAGTTGCCCTGGCTGGTGTCTTAGTAGGTCATGTGGACCCCTAGTCCACTGTCTCTGGACCCAGTTCAGCACTAGAGCTCACCTAGGTATTACAGTCCTTATTGCCTAGACTGCCTTTCAAGTTTAGTTGGAGCCCTAGAGCACTTTAGCCTGTGGCGGTGAAGCTTATGGGAGCTAGTTCCAACTGCTGGGATTGGTGATTCCCCCCCTGGCTAGGGCTGATTTAAATGCCCCCTCCATGAGCAGGTGTCAGCTGAGTTTGGTCCAGTTTTGCTTTCTGCTGTAACAAGGGCAGCACTGAGTTCATTGCTGGCTCGCCTTCTCCCCAGGACACAGAAACACTGTCAGCACTACGCCACTGCTGCTTGGTGATGGGGAAGAGGTGGTGTCAGTGATTCAAGCCTGTTTTTCCTACCTCTTCAGTGCTTCTTTCAGCGCTATGAAGTAAAACCAGGTACTGTGAGTGTTCACCTGATTTTTGGTTCTTATGAAGGTGCTTGGCTGTGTATAGATAATTGTTACATTGGTGTCGTTGTGGGGAAGACAATCAGTGGAGACTTCTATTCTGCCATCTTGCTCCATTCCTCTCACCAGAATGCTATTTAATTTAAATTATACAGTATATAGCCTTTTGAGTTTGGCTTCTTTCACTAACAAATCTTATCCTGAATTTTACTCCATTTTAATTCTTCTTGACTTATGAAATCATACTTGTATTTAGAAACAAATCATTACAGAAGAAATATAAGAATAATTGGTAATTTGCTGGTGTACATTCTCAAGTACAATTTTAAAAATATTTCACTATATTTCTACCTAATTTTTTGATCCACTTTTTTCTTTTCTTTTTCTTTCTTTTTTTTTCTTTTTTTTTTTTTTTGAGATGGAGTCTGTCTCTGTTGCCTAGGCTCTGGAGTGCGGGGGTGCCATCTCACCTCACTGCAACCTCCACCTCCTGTCCTGGGTGTTCAAGTGATTCTCCTGCCTCAGCCTCCCGAGTAGCTGGGATTACAGGCGCCCGCCACCACATCCAGCCGGTTTTTGTATTTTAGTAGAGACAGAATTTCACCGTGTTGGCCAGGTGGGTCTCGAACTCCTGACCTCAGGTCATCCGCCCACCTGGGCCTCCCAAAGTACTGGGATTACAGGTGTGAGCCACTGTGCCTGGCCTTGATCCACTTTTTAAGTTAATTGTATAAATTTTCCAATTTTAATTTTCAAATCATAAAATCAATATGTGCTCATGTTGACAATTTAATTTGAAGAATTTTGAGGAAGTACATTCCTTAGTTTTACTCTCCAGACTTTGTGGCTACTGTCAATTTCTTGAGTATGTCTGAAGACATTTTATATGCATATGTAGGGGCATACTTTGGTGATATTGTGGGTTTGGTTCCAGGCTACTGCAGTAAAGTGAGTATCACAATAAAATGACTCACGCAAATTTTTTTCCAGTGAATATAAAAATTATGTTTATACTGCAGTAGCACTACATCTGAAAAAATACATTTACCTTAATTTAAAAAATATTTTATGGCCAAAAACTGCTAATAATTATCTGAGCCTTCAGCTAGTTGTAATCTCTGCTAGTGGAGGATCTTGTCTTGATGTTGATGGCTGCTGACTGGTCAGGCTGGTGATGTTGAAGGTTAGGTTGGTTGTGGCAATTTCACAAAATAAGACATCTTAAATTGAAGCTTGCCACATTGATTGACTCTTCCTTTCATGAAAAATTTCTCTATAGAATGTGATGCTATTTGATAACACTTTACTCAGAGTAGATCTTCTTTCAAAATTGAAGCCAATCCTTTCAAACCATGTTGCTGCTTTTTCAACTAAGTTAATGTAATATTCTAATTCCTTTGTTGTCATATCAACAATGTTTACAGCATCTTCACCAGGAGTAGATTCCATCTCAATAAACCACTTTCTTTGCTCATCCATAAGAAGTAACTCCTCATCCATTCAAGTTGCATCATGAGAATGCAGCAATTCAATCACACATTTAGGTTCCACTTCTAATTCTAGTTCTCTTGCTATTGTTTTGTTTTGTTTTTTTTTTACCATATCTGCAGTTACTTCCTCCCCTGAAGTCTTGAACCCCTCAAAGCATCCTTGAGGGTTGGAATCAACTTCCTCCAAACTTCTGTTACTGTTGATATTTTGACCTTTTCACACAGATGAATGTTCTTAATGACATCTAGAATGATGAATTCTTTCCAGAATGTTTGCAATTCATTTTACTCAGTTACATCAGATAAATCACTATCTGTGGCAGCTATAGCCTTTTGAAATGTATTTCTTAAATAATAAGATTTAAAAGTCAAAATTACTCCTTGATATATGGGCTACAGAATGGATGCTGTGTTAGCAGGCAGGAAAACAACATTAATATCCTTGTACATCTCCATTAAAACTCTTGGGTAACCAGGGGCATTGTCAATAAACAATAATATTTTGTAAGGAGTCTTTTTTTCTAAGCTGTAGGTCTCCACAGTAGGCTTAAAATATTCAGTCATGTGCAAAGATATATGCTGTCATCCAGCCTTTTTTGTCCATTTATAGAGCATAGGCAGAGTATATTTAGCATGATTCTTAAGGGTCATAGGATTTTCAAAATGGCAAATGAGCATTGGTTTCTACTTAAAATCACCAGCTGCTTTAGCCACTACCAAGAGAGTCAGTCTGACCTCTGAAGTTTTGAAGCCTGGCATTGACTTCTCCTCTTGAGCTATGAAACTTCTAGACACCATATTCTTCCAAAAGAAGGCTGTTTCATCTACACTGAAAATGTGTTGTTTAGTATAGCCACCTTCATCAATGATATTAGCTTGATCTTCTGAATAACTTACTGCAGCTTCTACATCAGAACTTGCTGCTTCACCTCACACTTTTATGTTACGGAGATAGCTACTTTCCTTAAACCTCATGAACTGATTTCTGCAGCTTCTCCAACTTTTCTTCTGCAGCTTTCCCACCTCTCTCAGCCTGCATAGAATTTAAGAGAGTTTAGGGCCTTGCTTTGGATTAGGTTTTGGCTTAAGGGAATGTTGTGATTGGTTTGATCTTCTGTATAAACCACGCAGACTTTCTCCAAATCAGCAGTAAGGGTATTTCAGAAAGGCCTTATCCATGTGTTCACTGGAGTAGCACTTTTAATTTCCTTCAAGAACTTTTCTTTTGCATTCACAACTTAGCTAATTGTTTGCCACCAGAGGCCTGGCTTTTGGCCTGTCTCAGCTTTCAATATGCCTTCCTCACTAAGCTTCATCATTTCTAGTTTTTTATTTCAAGCGAGAGACTTGTGATTCTTCCTTTCACTTGAGCCCTTAGAGGCCATTGCAGGGTTATTAACTGGGCTAATTTCAATGTCGTCTCAGGGAATAGAGAGGCCTAAGGAGGGAGAAAGAGAGAGACACACACACAGGGGAAATGGCCCGTGGGTGTGTGGCAGGCCAGGTCTTCATTAGCAACCAGAACAGTCAGTTTCCACTAATCCTTTACTATAATTCTGATGAATGTATAAGTTAAATATTAGGAACTAGGGAAACTGCTGCCTTAGTACAAGGGCTGAAATGTAAAAACAAACCCATCAAGACCCCACCTGGGCTTTCTCAGACCTTAAAGACTGATACAATGATGAAGGCATTTTTCTCTTTTTTGTTATTGTTTTTGTTTTTGAGATAGAGTTTAGCTCTTGCTGCTCAGGCTGGAGTGCAATGGCGTGATCTCAGCTCACTGCAAACTATGTCTCCTGGGTTCAAGCAATTCTCCTGTCTCAGCTTCCTGAGTAGCTTGGATCACAGGCATGCGTCACCACGCCCAGCTAATTTTGTATTTTTAGTAGAGACGGGGTTTCTCCATGTTGGTCAGGCTGGTCTCGAACTCCCGACCTCAGGTGACCAGGCCACCTTGGCATCCCAAATTGCTGGGATTACAGGCGTGAGCCTCCACTCCTGGCTGATGAAGGCATTCTTACACACATCTTGTACCAGGGCCCACTTAAGATTAAGTAATTTGTCCAGGGCTCTAAAGAAACTTTCCAGGCCCTAGAACATAGTTAAAGATTAGATTGAATGAAACACTCTTGCTGGTAGGTGCACACTCGCATGTAGACATATAACTTGAATGTATATAAGCACTGAAAAAAAACTTGTAACTCTCAGTTGATCTGATGAACTTCCCTGACCTTCTCCCTGTGGCTGCTTACAGAAATAAACTCTCTTATTTCCAGGTAATCTGCATCTCATTAATTGGACCATAAGACCAAGCAGCCACACCTCAGTTTTATCCGGGTACAAAATCTGGCAGCTCCACTGGGACAGAGCTGCCCTCAGCAGCTAGAGGCTTGTGACCTGACGGTCTTTAGGAGACTCCCAGCAGCTGCTAGGTACAGTTTGTCCTGAGGACGCTTCTGAGAACTTTCCCTGGGCAAAAGGACCACCCATCCCCTTGCTACTGGGGTAGAACAGGGGCTAGGACACTGAAGGGGTGAGTAAAACTGGATCATAAGCAGGGAGTCTATTGTCTTCCTTATCGGGGCTTGCAAAGCCATTCATTTTGGTACCCTTAAGGAGACAATAGGGCTAATTTGTACATCTACTTTGCATTTGTTTGAAATATATTTACATTTGGCTGTGAGAATCTGTTTTTGTGTGTCTGTTATCTGTTAAGTTTTGAGCACTCAAGATGGGAAACACTGTCTCTGTTCCTGCCCATCGCCCCCTAGGGAGAATTCTGGCAGATTGGAAACAATATGGTTATCCACCCATGACTAAAAAGAAATTAATCTTTTACTGTAACATAGCTTGGCCAATGTATGTTTTAGAGTCTGAAGAAAGGTGGCCAGTTTGTGGGACCTTGAACTTTCACACCATCTCTCAGTTAGAACTATTCTGCCAACGGTTGGGAAAATGGGGGGAAATGCCATATGTCCTGGCATCCATGTTACTGTATGATTAGGATGTTAAGAAAGAAGGGAATAAGTTAATGGTACAATACACTGCTAAGGTTTGTCCTGACTCCTAAGGGGAGGAAGAAAGGACTCAGAAACCCAACAGTTAATAAATGCTCTTAACCCCTATAGTAGCTACTGCTCCAGTGCTAAGGCAAGGAAAGGAAGAGTTACTGCCCCCAGAATATAAGGAAGCCGCAGAGTTAGTGTCTCCCTCTCGAACTAGGCAAGGTACTAATTTGGGGAGGTCACTGACCCTGGAGCAGGGCAATTTCCACTATGACAATACCCAGTAGGGGTTAATCAGCAAGGAGCTCTGGCTGGATATTATTGGGCCTACAATCCTTTTTCCACATCCAACTTGTTAAATTGGAAAAACATCCTTCATATAGACAGGATCCCCAGAAAATGACTGAATTATATACTACTATATTTGCTACTCATTGTAGCACATGGGCAGGTGTGTAAGCCCTCCTGAATATTATGCTCACTGCAGATGAGTGGCAGCTAGTTTTAGACAAAGCAAAAGAGGAAGTGCAACACCTTTATGATGAGGACCTAGATGATACTCCAGATTCTGATAGGGCAATCCTCTCTATGGACCCAAGTTGGTACCCTAATGAGGCCAATGCGGCTGGCATGGTTCACTTGGAACACTACAGGAGATACATATTAAAAGGCATGAAATCAGCTGGGCATGGTGGCTCATGCCTGTAACCCCAGCACTTTGGGAGGCCAAGGCGGGTGGATCACCTGAGGTCAGGAGTTCGAGATCAGCCTAACCAACATGGAGAAACCTTGTTTCTATTAAAAATACAAAATTAGCTGGGCGTGGTGGTGCATGCCTGTAATCCCAGCTATTCGGGAGGCTGAGGCAGGAGAATCACTTGAACCTGGAAGGCGGAGTTTGCAGTGAGCCGAGATCATGCCATTGCACTCCAGCCTGGGCAACAAGAGCAAAACTCCGTCTCAAACAAAAAAAAAAAGGCATGATATCTGGAATGCCTAAACCTAAGAGCTTAAACAATGTACAGCAGCTCCAATAAAAACCTAATGAGGAACCCTCTGAGTTCATGGAACATATTGTCAGGTGTTCAGAAAATATACAGACCCCTACAAGATCCTGAAAATGTCAATATGGTTAATATGACTTTCATAGGGCAAAGTACCCCTGATATCAGGAAAAAGTTCCAAAAGATAGAAGGGGCCTTTGGGACGAATGCCTCCCAATTGATTGATATTGCATTAAAGGTTTATAACAGCAGAGAAACCAGGGAAGTTAAAAACCTGTGACAGGCAACAATACTTCTAGCCACAGCAGGAGGAAATCCAAAAGGAAAGAGATTCCAAAAATGGAGAGGAAAAATAGAAAAGGATCAATGTGCTTGCTGCTGGGAAACAGGACATTGGGACAAGGTTGTCCAAAATTAAGCCAGAGTGAACCAAAATCACTGATGGGAGTTAAGCCTGGAAATGAATTTGAGGAAGATTGAAGGTGCCCAAGGCCCCCAACAGCTCCAACCCTATCTGATATTAAAATCTCCCCACAGGAGCCTGGGGTAAAATTGACAGTAAAGAAACAAAAAGTGGATTTCTTAGTCCACATTGGCACTCCTTATTCAGTGGTTAACACCCCAGTAACTGGACTTTCTAATACTTCTGTTAATGTGGTTGGGATAAGCAGAGAACTAAGATCGGAATGGTTCCTGTGTCCCCTCTCTTGTAAAGTGGGCAATGAATTAATACTCTTAAATTCCTTTATGTGCCAGAGTTCCCAGTCCCTTTACTTGGCAGAGACCTGCTATGTACCTGCTATGTAAGTCTGTAATCCCGAGAAACACCAGATGTGTCTCCCAAGTGCCTCTGGAACATGGGTTTCAGCTGCAGGCGCTCCTAACAGACTCAGAGGCTTCCAACTCTAAAACAGGGACTATTCCACAGGAAATCCTTGACAAGGTAAGCTCAGAGATTTGGGCTTCACATGGGCCCAGGAAGGCCATCAGTGTGGACCCAGTGAAAATTAAAATTAAGGAAGGAGCCTAGCCAGTCCAGAAGAAACAATACACTTTAAAAAGAGAAGCACTAGAAGGCATTCAACCAGTCTTTGTCCAGTTCTTGTAGTATGGCCTAATAGTACCCCATCATTCTCCTTACAACACTCCAATTTTGCTGGTGAAAAAGCCTCACTCACACAAATTTTAATTTGTACAAGATTTAAGGGCAATTAATGACATTGTAGAAGATGTACATCCCACTGTAGCTAACCCATGTACTGTGTTTATTTCTCTTCCTGGAGATCGTGAATGGTTTACAGTATTGGATTTAAAGGATGCTTTCTTTTGCATACCTGTACGCATAGAAAGTCAATTGCGGTGTGTCTTTGAATGGACAGATCCTGAAGCCGCAACTCAGTTTCAGTGTTATTGGATTGTGTTCCCACATGGGTTTAAAAACTCTCCAACTATATTCGGAGAAGTCTTGGCTCAAGACTCAAGAAGTTTACAATTGGAAAATGGGGTGTTGTTAGAATACATGGATGATTTACTAATATCTAGCCCCTGTGAATGGGGATGTCAAAATAATACCATTAAAACTCCAAATCACCTAGCAACCCATGGGTACAAGGTTTCAAGTAAAAAGGCTCAAATATGCAGAAAAACTGTGGGGTACTTAGGGTTTCTCTTGCAGAAGGGAACCAGAGCCTCGATGGTGGAAACATGAAATGCAATTGCCTCCATCACCACACCCTCTACTAGAAGACAGCTGAGAGGATTTCTGGGTATGGCAGGGTTTTGTTGCATTTGGATTCCTAACTATGGACTGCCAGCAAAGCCACTATATGAGCTGTTGAAAGGGGCTGACAATGATCCCTTCAACTGGGAAGTGAAACAAACACCAACATGCATTCAAACAACTGAATGTAAGTTAATTTCTGCACCAGTCTTGGGGCTTCCAAATCCTCACAAGCTCTTTCAACTGTACAATCATGAGAGACTGGGTCTGGCACTCAGGGTCCTCTCCCAAAAGTTAGGAGAAATATTACAGCCAGTAGCTTACTTTTCTAAGCAGCTGGTGACTGTGGCCAAAGGCTGCCCACCCCCTTGTTTAAGGGCAGTCTCTGCCACCAGCCTGCTGTTAAAGGAAGCTGAGAAGCTAACTTTGGGACAGCCTGTCACAGTCTATGTGCCTTGCCAAGTGCTGGTGCCACTGGAACAAAAGGGAGACTATTGGCTGACAGCAGCAAGTTAGGCAAATGCCAGGCCATTTTTAAATGACCCCACAGTGAAATTACAAACCACCAGAGCCCTGAACCCAGCTACTTTACTTCTTCCTACCAAAGAACCAAAACAACCTATGCATAATTGTTTATAAGTTATTGATCAAGTATTTTCCAGCCATCCTGATTTGAAGAATACAGCCACGCTGCATGTAGATTGGACATTTTTCATAGATGGGAGCAGCCTGGTAACCAATGGAAGAAAGAATGCTGTATATGCTATGGTGACCTCTTAAGAGGTAGCAGAGGCAAGGACTTTACGTGGGAACCTCTGCACAGAAGGCAGAGCAAATCACCCTTATAAGAGCCTGCAGTTGTCCCAAGGTAAAAACACCAACATCTATGCTGATTCTAACTCTAAATATGCATTCATGATAGTCCATGCTCATGGGGACATTTGGAAGGAGAGGGGATTACTGAAGGCTGTCAATACTGAAATTAAATATGCCACACAAGTACTGGAATTACTAGAAGCAATAAAGGCTCTACAGGTGGTTGCTGTAATGCATTGTCTTGGCCATCAACACAGCAATTTCAAAATAGCAAAGGGAATGCCTTTGCAGACCACACTGCCTGGCACTTAGCCAGCATTGAATTCCAGACACCTCTAATTCCTCAAATAGATTTAACAGGCTTTAGGCCCCAATATAGTCCTTGAATGAGAAAAGTGCAGAAAGCAAGGGAGTTGCTTTAAATAAGGAAGGCTTGAAAGTAAATAACAAGGGCCTAATTTGGATACCGGCTCAACTTGTCCATCCAATGTTAAAGTATATCCATGATAGCACACACTATGGGTGAGAGTGTTCATTAGCCTTCATTCAGTGGTATTAGAGAGGGAAAGGGCTAAAAGCTAATTTGGAAAATACAGTCCAGTGCTGTTATCTGTGTGCTAGAAATGAACTTAACAATCACAGTTGAGGACAACCCAGACATCAAAACAGAGGAAAATACCCACTGGAAAATTGGCAAATAGACTTTCCTCAAATGCCACCCTCCCGTGGAGGATACAAATACCTCTTAGTTCTAGTAGACACCTTCTCTGGCTGGGTAGAGGCTCACAGAATGAGCAACTGAAGTAATTAAAGTTTTCTTAAAGGAAATCATACCTCAGTATGGGCTTCTGGACATAATTCAAAGCGATAATGGGCCCTCATTCACATCTGACATAACTCAATAAGTAAATAAGGCACTTGGAATAAAATGGAAACTACATTCGGTGTGGAGACCTCAATCTTCCGGACAGATGGAAAGAATGAATCTAACACTGAAAACAATCATTGCCAAACTGTGCTGGGAAACCCAGTTAAAGGGAATTCAGGTACTCGGCATTGCACTGCTCCGGGTAAGGGTAACCCCCAAAGTGGGATTAAGTCTCGTCTCTACAAAATTATATTTGGGAGACCCTTTGCTGCTAATCCATCTCGGGTTACTGAGGCACCCCTTAACAGGGAGTTAACTATTAAAAACTGTGTTACTCACTTGGGACAAACTCTTAACCTTTTGCATAAATTTAACAGGAGCATTGTGAACTCTGAAGAACTGTGCCACACATTCCAGCCCGGTGATCAAGTGCTATTAAAAGAATGGAAAGAAACAGACCCTGCTTCCCAGCTGCAGGAGAAATACAAAGGGCCCTATGATGTGCTGCTAAGCACCAGTTCAGCACTGAAACTGGTGGACATCAAGCCATGGATCCACTACACACGATTGAAAAAGTTCCTGCAAGAAGAAACATCCACGACAGAGGACACCAAGGCCACCGAATGGGAGATGGAACCCCTGGAAGGCCTAAGATTTCTGTTCAACAAATGACAAGATTTTCCCTTATAATATTTTTCCTTTCTGCTCCTTTTGTTGTTAATGCCTCTACCTCTAACGTTTTCCTACAATGGGCACACAGTTATGCAGATGGCTTACAACAAGGAGACCCTTGCTGGGTCTGTGGTTCGTTACCCGTCACTAACACCATGGAGCTACCTTGGTGGGTCTCCCCGCTACAAGGGAAAGACTGGGTTTTTTTTCAAAGCTTTATAGGGGATCTTAAACAATGGACAGGGGCACAGATGACTGGGGTAACTAGAAAAAACATTTCAGAATGGCCTATAAATAAAACTTTAAATGAGCCAGGGCATGATAAACCATTCTCAGTAAATGAGACAAGGGATAAAGTAATAGCCTTTGCCATCCCCTTGTTGGATACCAAGGTGTTTGTCCAGACTTCCAGACCTCAGAACACTCAATATAGAAATGGGTTTCTCCAGATATGGGACGGGTTCATTTGGCTGACAGCCACTAAGGGACACTTAAGCCAGATAGCTCCCTTATGCTGGGAGCAAAGAAATCACTCCCTTGATAACTGGCCAAACACAACTCGTGTTATGGGATGGATTCCACCTGGACAGTGCCGACATACTATACTGTTACAACAGAGGGACCTATTTGCCACAGACTGGTCTCAGCAACCTGGCTTGAATTGGTATGCTCCCAACGGAACCCAGTGGCTCTGCAGCCCAAACTTATGGCCTTGGCTTCCCTCAGGTTGGTTAGGATGCTGCACTCTAGGTATTCCCTGGGCACAAGGACGCTGGGTAAAAACCATGGAAGTCTATCCTTATCTTCCACATGTGGTTAACCAAGGGACTAGGGCCATTGTTCACAGGAATGATCACCTACCCACAATCTTTATGCCCTCAGTAGGTTTAGGAACTGTAATACAGCACATAGAGGCTCTAGCCAATTTTACCCAACGGGCCCTAAATGACAGCCTCCAAAGTATTTCTCTCATGAATGCTGAAGTGTATTATATGCACGAGGACATCTTACAAAACCGAATGGCCCTAGATATTTTAACTGCGGCTGAAGGAGGAACCTGTGCCCTCATCAAAACTGAATGTTGTGTGTATATTCCCAATAACTCTAGAAACATTTCCTTGGCCTTAGAGGATACATGTCGGCAAATCCAAGTCATCTCCAGCTCTGCACTGTCACTCCATGACTGGATAGCATCTCAGTTTAGTGGAAGACCTTCCTGGTGGCAGAAAATCCTCATTGTCCTTGCCACCCTCTGGAGCGTAGGCATAGCACTGTGTTGTGGACTGTATTTTTGTCGCATGTTTTCCCAACACATTCCCCAAACTCATTCGATTATATTTCAACAGGAACTTCCCTTGAGCCCCCCAAGTCAGGAGCATTACCAGAGCCAAAGAGACATCTTCCACTCTAACGCCCCCTGACAACGACCCTATTCAGCAGGAAGTAGCCAGAGAGACTACGTAGCCCATTTCTCTTTAGTCTGCTATGTTATAGTTTACACTTTTGTACTAATCTTTAATGAATTAATCTTAAAAAAAGTAACTGACATGATAGGAATCATGCACAAATTGTGGGGACTGTGGCAGGCCAGGTCTCCGTTAGCAACCAGAACAGTCAGTTTCCACTAACCCTCTACTGTAATTCTGATGAATGTGTAAATTAAACATTAGTAGTTGGAGAAACTGGTGCCTTAATACAAGGGCTGAAATGTGAAGACAAACCCATTAAGACCCCACCTGGGTTTTCTCAGACCTTAAACCCTGATAAAATAATGAAGGCATTTTTACACACACCTTGTACAAGGGCCCACTTAAGATTAAGTAATCTTTCCAAGGTTCTAAAGAAACTTTCCAGACCCCAGACCCTAGTTAAAGATTAGATTGAGTGAAACACCCCTAATGGCAGGTGCACACCACATGTAGGCATATAGCTTGAATGTATATAAGGCCTGAAGAAAAACTTGTAATTTTGAGTGGTCTGGTGAACTTCCCTGACCTTCTCCCTGTGGCCGGTTACAGAAGTAAACCCTCTTCTTTACCAGTCTGTCCACATCTCATTAATTAGACCATGAGACCAAGCAGCCAGACCCGTTTTGTCCAGGTACAGGTGGAGCAGTTGGAACATACACATTTATCAATTAAGTTCACCATCCTGTATAGACATGATTCGTGGTGTCCCAAAACAATTATGATAGTAACATGAAAGATCACTGATTACAGATCATCATAATAGGTGTAACAATAATGAAAGCTTGGAATATTGCAGGAAGCACCAAAACATGACAGAGACAGGAAGTGAGCACATGCTGTTAGAAAAATGGTGCTGAATGCAGGTTGCCACAAACCTCCCTTTTTTTTTTTTAAATGCAGTGTCTGTGAAATGCAATATAGCAAAGTGCAATAAAAAAGGCATGCCTGCATATATCCTCTTCTTCATATGTAACAAGATAATATACAAACTTCACTGTCCCTTTTTTACTTACTGGCAGAGACTGCTGGTTATTACCAGTATCTATTCTCTACTTCTTCCTTCATAATAAAGCCTCAGACTTACAGCAGAGTATATGGCTGCCCAGAATAAAGAATATATTTCATAGTTTGTGTGGCAGGAACACTTGGTCCTGTGACTAAATTCTGGCCAATGAGATGTAAACACCAGTACAATGTGGCTGCTGGTACACGTTCTTTTCTTCTTCTTTTGCTGTCATCCTCATGCCTGGGATGCAGATATTATTTCTGAAGTTCTATTCCCTATCTTTGCCTATGAAGACAAGGGCCACATCACAGGGAAGATAGAGCACTGACCTAGGTGGGTCTCAGGCCCTCAAGAGCTTCATGGAGCAGAGCTGCTACACTAACTCCCTACATCCACAGTTATAAACAAGACAGAAATGACTCATCATCAAATAAAATCATGGAATCAAAACTTTTAAGTGTTGATCTTGTAATTTTTTTCATTTTGTTCTTTTTCATAAAGTGTGCAACATTGTGTTTGAGAGTGCCAGTTTCAAATCACATGTGTTTTCAAATGACATGAAGAATAGCTATAAAGACAGTTGGTTTATTATACTAAATTTGTAAATTTAGTACAAAGGAGAGAGTGTACTATTGAGAGGTGACAGCGTGCTGGCAGCCCTTACAGCCCTCGCTTGCTCTCGGTGCCTCCTCTGCCTGGGCTCCCACTTTGGCGGCATTTGAGAAGCCCTTCAGCCCACTGCTGCACTGTGGGAGCCCCTTTCTGGGCTGGCCAAGGCCGGAGCTGGCTCCCTCAGCTTGCAGGGAGGTGTGGAGTGAGAGGCAGGAGCAGGAACCGGGGCTGCGGGCGGCGCTTGCGGGCCAGCTGGAGTTCTGGGTGGGCGTGAGCTTGGCGGGCCCGCACTTGGAGCAGCCAGCCGGCCCTGCTGGCCCCGGGCAATAAGGGGCTTAGCACCAGGGCCAGCGGCTGCGGAGGGTGTAATGGGTCCCCCAGCAGTGCCAGCCCACCAGCACTGTGCTCGATTTCTCACTGGGCCTTAGCTGCCTTCCCATGGGACAGGGCTCAGGACCTGCAGCCTGCCATGCCTGAGCCTCCCACCCACTCCATGGGCTCCCGTGTGGCCCCAGTCTCCCTGATAAGTGCCGCCCCCTGCTCCACGGCACCCAGTCCCATCGACCACCCAAGGGCTGAGGAGTGCGGGCGCACGGCACGGGACTGGCAGGCACCTCCACCTGCAGCCCCAGTGCGGCATCCACTGGATGAAGCCAGCTGGGCTCCCGAGTCTGGTAGGGATGTGGAGAACCTTTATGTCTAGCTCAGGGATTGTAAATACACCAATCAGCACCCTGTGTCTACCTCAGGGTTTGTGAATGCACCAATCAACACTCTGTATCCAGCTACTCTGGTGGGGCCTTGGAGAACCTTTATGTCTAGCTCAGGGATTGTAAATACACCAATCAGCACTCTGTATCTAGCTCAAGGTTTATAAACACACCAATCGGCACCCTGTGTCTAGCTCAGGGTTTGTGAATGCACCAATCGACACTCTGTATCTAGCTGCTACTCTGGTGGGGCCTTGGGGAACCTTTGCGTCCACACTCTGTATCTAGCTAATCTGGTGGGAGGTGGAGAACCTTTGTATCTAGCTCAGGGATTGTAAATGCACCAATCAGCTCCCTGTCAAAACAGACCACTGGGCTCTACCAATCAGCAGGATGTGGGTGGGGCCAGATAAAAGAATAAAAGCAGGCTGCCTGAGTCAGCAGTGGCAACCCGCTCGGGTCCCCTTCTACACCGTGGAAGCTTTGTTGTTTCACTCTTTGCAATAAGTCTTGCTACTGCTCACTCTTTGAGTCCACACTGCTTTTATGAGCTGTAACACTCACCACGAAGGTCTGCAGCTTCACTCCTGAAGCCACAGAGACCACAAGCCCACCGGGAGGAACGAATAATTCCAGACGCGCTGCCTTAAGAGCTGTAACACTCACCGCGAAGGTCTGCAGCTTCACTCCTGAGCCAGCGAGACCACAAACCCACCAGAAGGAAGAAACTCCCAACACATCCGAACATCAGAAGGAACAAAACTCCAGACGCGCCACCTTAAGAGCTGTAACACTCACCGAGAGGGTCCGCGGCTTCATTCTTGAAGTTAGTGAGACCAAGAACCCACCAATTCCGGACACACTATTACTGGGACTGGAAGGTTCCCCCAAGACACAGCAACGGGTTTGTTGGCTGTCAGGTAGAGACCCATAGCTGGGCTTTTATGAGGGAAATACTCTTGGAGACCATCGGCTAACACCCCTCACCTCCAATTTACAAATGAAGACACCGTATCCCACAGAGTTTCAGGTAGCCTGCCTTAAACGGCAGAACCTGTTTTACGGTCTAGCTGCAGCTTCATTCCATGATTGGGTCAAATCATGTCTTCTTTAGCCTCAGTTTCTTTACCTGTGATAGGAGATACATGACAATCTTGCAGAGATGTTATAAGTATTAAATAGGCATTTTCATATCCCTACACAATCCCTAGCACAGAGGTGCTCAAAAATAGCCCTTTCCTCCCTTGACTGCCCTGCCCCAAGATTTTGTGGCACCCAAACTTCCACATGCCTCCTTCTTCAGCTGTTATGTCCTCCTAAATAGTCTCAAAGGATTGTTTGCTGAGGGATTTGGCTCTTCAACTTCTAGACACAGGATCAAATTCCTCCCATGTAAATCTGCAGCATTAATTCTTAAGTAAGATCTCCACAAATGTGATAAACTCATGATTAAGGACTAGCTTCAGCAACAACAGCGGTAAAGCTGATATCAGCAGGTGTTTGAAGCCCAGTGCTTGGCTGAGTGTTCTTCGTTAATCCCTGATTTCAAAGAAAGAAATTATCTTTGCCTATTTACTTTGCCTGAGTGGTTTGCTCAGGTCAGCAGAATCCTATTAATTATAGAATTGGACAAATATTAGCTCTCTCTAAAGCTTCTTGCTGTGCTGAAACTTTATGTCTTAGAGTGTTAGTTTAGATAGTTTCTGAATTGGATTGGAGGCATTATACAGGCTTAGGCTATATGGTAGTTTTATACGCTCTCTTAAACTCAATGTATTATGGTTTATTACCTCCATAAATTTTCCTAACATCAGCTTTTCCTTAACCATCTTCTTTGGCCATTTGCATCTTACTGATGACTACTTTCTTTGTTTCTAAATAGTGAGTCCGTTTAGGGTAGGCCTCAAATTGTGAGCTTTGTCCTCTGCAATACTTAAAACAAGTGCTTTACTTATAGTAGGTGCTGAATGAATAAGTGATTGGATAAAGAAACAAATTAACAACACATGGACACAGGGAGGGGAACAACACACACTGGGGCCTGTCAGGGGAGGGTGGGGGAAGGGAGGAGAGCATTAGGGAAAAGAGCTAATGCATGCTGGGCTTAATACCTAGGTGATGGGTGATTGGTGTAGCAAACCACCATGGCACACGTTTACCTATGTAACACACCCGCACATCCTGCACATGTACCCCAGAACTTAAAAAAATAAAATAAAATATAAGCACATAAATATTCAAAAAAGGAACACTGAAAATAAATATCCATTAAATCTTAAAAAAAACAAATGAACAAGCAAATAGGTTTTTCTCAGGGTTTTGTTTCATATATTAAATATATTCAGCCATGTCACAAAAGAAATTTGTGGATTTAAGAGATCATAATCCCATCATGAAAGACCTTTCTTTAAACTCTATTTTTAAGAACTGAGTTCAATATTAATTAAGAATAAGCTTAGCAGAGACTGAGAGGAAGCTTAAAATAACAGTGACTTGAACAAAAGTGTAATTCAGTATAATTTTTTTCTCATATTGAGGAAGCTCAGAGGTCTATCTCCAGGACTGGTATGGCCCCATGATGACAGGCACTCAGGCTTCTTTCACCTTCTAGTACTGCTAGCCTCAAAATGTGGCTTCTACTTCATGGTCTAAAGTGGTTGCTCAAACTCCTGCCATCATGTCAGAATTCTCACCTGATGGAAAAATGAAGAATACACTCTCTTCTTTAAAAATACTTCCTGGAAGTTGCTTCCACTATTTCTGCTTGCACTTCATTGGCCAGAACTCATTCACAAGGGAGTCCAGGAAATGTAATTTTTATCTTGGGCGCCGTGTGCCTGCCTAGAATCAGGGGTCCTATTGCCAAAGGAAGAAGGATAGAAGCAATATTGGGGGATGAAGAAGAGTCTCAGGCAGTTTTCCATTGCTGTTTGGATAAAGTATGAACTCATTGTTATGCTCCACAAGGCTCTCATCAGAGAGCCTTGTGTGTTTACTCACTGCTTGGTCTCTGGGCTCATCTCTCGTTTCTCATTTATATTGTTTTATCTCTGTTTTCCTACTTTCATTTTCTCTAAAGGGTGGGCTCTATCCCACCCCAATGCCTTTGCACAAGCTCTCACTGCTGAGATTTAAGAATCCTGGATTAAGCTCTCTGTCCACATAATATTTTTTCATAACATCTCATACTTTCTCTTTGTAGCACCTACCACAATTACAACTATAAATTATTTATGTAATGATTTACTTTATATCTATCTCTCTGATTAATCTATAAGTAGTATAAGTGCAGGGACTTTGTTTTGTTCATGCCTATATTTCCAGTGTCAAACATAGTATTTGGCACAAATTAGACACTTAATAACTCTTTGCTGGGTAAATGAGTGAACTTTCTAATAGAATTCTCTCATTTTACAAATGAGGTAATAGTTTAACCAGAGTATTCGAAGAATATGGATTCTAGCTTCCTGAATTAGTTACAATGAAGGTTTAAACTGATATTAAAAGTCTTACTAAAACATTCCAGTCTAATTATTTCCTGCCTTAGTAAGGACAATGCATCAAGTAATACTTACTCTTCCTTTGATGGTCAAAGGAAGGTTAACATGCCTGAGGGTCAGTATTATAACTATTGATCAGCACTGACCAAAACCACAAATGCGGAACAAGAAAGCAATCGTGTGGAACCTGTGTGACTCTGGGATTAGCCTAGAAATTTCTCTTAAACAGATCAATTCAACAAGAAGAGCTAACTATCCTAAATATATATGCACCCAATACAGGAGCACCCAGATTCATTAAGCAAGTCCTTAGAGACCTACAAAGAGACTTAGACTCCCACACAATAATAATGGGAGACTTTAACACCCCACTGTCAACATTAGAGAGATCCACGAGACAGAAAGTTAACAAGGATATCCAGGAATTGAACTCAGCTCTGCATCAAGTGGACCTAATAGACATCTACAGAACTCTCCACCCCAAATCAATAGAATATACATTCTTCTCAGCACCACATCGCACTTATTCCAAAATTGACCACATAGTTGGAAGTAAAGCACTCCTCAGCAAATGTAAAAGAACAGAAATTATAACAAACTGTCTCTCAGACCACAGTGCAATCAAACTAGAACGCAGGATTAAGAAATTCACTCAAGGCTGGGTGTGGTGGCTCACGCCTGTAATCCCAGCACTTTGGGAGGCCAAGGCGGGCAGATCATGAGGCCAGGAGATTGAGACCATCCTGGCTAACATGGTGAAACCCCGTCTCTACTAAAAACACAAAAAATTAGCCGGGTGTGGTGGTGGGCGCCTGTAGTCCCAGCTGCTCGGGAGGCTGAGGCAAGAGAATGGTGCGAACCTGGGACCAGAGCTTTCAGTGAGCTGAGATCCCGCCACTGCACCCCAGCCTGGGTGACAGAGCGAGACTCCATCTCAAAAAAAAAAAAAAAAAAGAAACTCACTCAAAACTGCTCAACTACATGAAAACCGAACAACCTGCTCCTGAATGACTACTGGGGACATAAAGAAATGAAGGCAGAAATAAAGATGTTCTTTGAAACCAATGAGAACAAAGACACAACATACCAGAATCTCTGGGACACATTTAAAGCAGTGTGTAGAGGGAAATTTATAGCACTAAATGCCCACAAGAGAAAGCAGGAAAGATCTAAAATTGTCACCCTAACACCACAATTAAAAGAACTAGAGAAGCAAGAGCAAACACATTCAAAAGCCAGCAGAAGGCAAGAAATAACTAAGATCAGAGCAGAATTGAAGGAGATAAAGTCACAAAAAACCCTTCAAAAAATCAGTGACTCGAGGAGCTGGTTTTTGAAAAGATCAACAAAATTGATAAACCGCTAGCAAGACTAATAAAGAAGAAAAGAGAGAAGAATCGAATAGACGCAATAAAAAATGATAAAGGGGATATCACCACCGATCCCACAGAAATGCAAACTACCGTCAGAAAATACTATAAACACCTCTATGCAAATAAACTAGAAAATCTAGAAGAAAAGGACAAATTCCTGGACACATACACCCTCCCAAGACTAAACCAGGAAGAAGTTGAATCCCTGAATAGACCAATAACAGGCTCTGAAATTGAGGCAATAATTAAGAGCCTACCAAGCAAAAAAATCCAGGACCAGACGGATGCACAGCCAAATTCTACCAGAGGTACAAAGAGGAGCTGATACCATTCCTTCTGAAACTATTCCAATCAATAGAAAAAAAGGGAATCCTCCCTAACTCATTTTAAGAGGCCACCATCTTCGTGATACCAAAGCCTGGCAGAGACACAACAAAAAAAGAGAATTTTAGACCAATATCCCTGATGAACATTGATGCAAAAATTCTCAATAAAATACTGGCAAACCAAATCCAGCAACACATCAAAAAGCTTATCCACCATGATCAAGTGGGCTTCATCCCTGGGATGCAAGACTGGTTCAACATACACAAATCGATAAATGTAATCCATCATATAAACAGAACCAAAGACAAAAACCACATGATTATCTCAATAGATGCAGTAAAGGCCTTCGACAAAATTCAACAGCCTTTCATGCTAAAAACTCTCAATAAATTAGGTATTGACGGGACGTATCTCAAAACAATAAGAGCTATTTATGACAAACCCACAGCCTATATCATGCTGAATGGGCAAAAACTGGAAGCATTCCCTTTGAAAATGGGCACAAGACAGGGATGCCCTCTCTCACCACTCCTATTCAACATAGTGTTGGAAGTTCTGGCCAGGGCAATCAGGCAGGAGAAAGAAATAAAGGGTATTCAATTAGGAAAAGAGGAAGTCAAATTGTCCCTGTTTGCAGATGACATGGTTATATATTTAGAAAACCCCATCGTCTCAGCCCAAAATCTCCTTAAGCTCATAAGCAACTTCAGCAAAGTCTCAGGATACAAAGTCAATTTGCAAAAATCACAAGCATTCCTATACACCAATAACAGACAAACAGAGAGCCAAATCATGAGTGAACTCTCATTCACAATTGCTTAAAAGAGAATAAAATACCTAGGAATTCAACTTACAAGGGATGTGAAGGACCACTTCAAGGAGAACTACAAACCACTGCTCAACAAAATAAAAGAGGACACAAACAAATGGAAGAACATTCCATGCTCATGGATAGGAAGAATCAGTATCGTGAAAATGGCCATACTGCCCAAGGTAATTTATAGATTCAATGCCATCCTCATCAAGCTACCAATGACTTTCTTCACAGAATTGGAAAAAACTACTTTAAACTTCATGTGGAACCAAAAAAGACTCCACATTGCCAAGACAATCCTAAGCCAAAAGAACAAACCTGGAGGCATCATGCTACCTGACTTCAAACTATACTACAAGGCTACAGTAACCAAAACAGCATGGTACTGGTACCAAAACAGAGATATAGACCAATGGAACAGAACAGAGCCCTCAGAAATAATACCACACATCTACAACCATCTGATCTTTGACAAACCTGACAAAAAACAAGAAATAGGGGAAGGATTCCCTATTTAATAAACGGTGCTGGGAAAACTGGCTAGCCATATGTAGAAAGCTGAAACTGAATCCCTTCCTTACGCCTTATACAAAAATTAATTCAAGATGGATTAAAGACTTAAATATCAGATCTAAAATCATAAAAACCCTGAAGAAAACCTAGGCAATACCATTCAGGACATAGGCATGGGCAAGGACTTCATGTCTAAAACACCAAAAGCAATGGCAACAAAAGCCAAAATTGGCAAATGGGATCTAATTAAACTAAAGAGCTTCTGCACAGCAAAAGGAACGACCATCAGAGTGAACAGGCAACCTACAGAATGAGAGAAAATTTTTGCAATCTACTCATCTGACAAAGGGCTAATATCCAGAATCTACAAAGAACTTAAATTTATGAGAAAAAATCAAACAACCCCATCAAAAAGTGGGTGAAGGATATGAACAGATACTTCTCAAAAGAAGACATTTATGCAGCCAACAGACACATGAAAAAATGCTCATCGCTGGCCATCAGAGAAATGCAAATCAAAACCACAATAAAATACCATCTCACACCAGTCAGAATGGTGATCATTAAAAAGTCAGGAAACAACAGGTGCTGGAGAGGATGTGGAGAAATAGGAACACTTTTACACTGTCAGTGGGACTGTAAACTAGTTCAACCATTGTGGAAGACAGTGTGGCAATTCCTCAAGGATCTAGAACTAGAAATACCATTTGACCAGCCATCCTGTTACTGGGTATATACCCAAAGGATTATAAATCATGCTGCTATAAAGACACATGCACACGTATGTTTATTGCGGCACTATTCACAATAGCAAAGACTTGGAACCAACCCAAATGTCCATCAATGATAGACTGGATTAAGAAAATGTGGCACATATACACCATGGAATACTATGCGGCCATAAAAAAGGATGAGTTCATGTCCTTCGTAGGCACATGGATGAAGCTAGAAACCATCATTCTGAGCAAACTATCGCAAGGGCAGAAAACCAAACACCACATGTTCTCACTTATATGTGGGAATTGAACAATGAGAACACTTGGACACAGGGTGGGGAACACCACACATCAGATCCTGTCGTGCAGTGGCGGGAGTGAGGAGGGTTAGCACTAGGAGATATACCTAATGTAAATGATGAGTTAATGGGTGCAGCACACCAACATGGCACATGTATACATATGTAACAAACCTGCATGTTGTGCACATGTACCCTAAAACTTAAAGTATAATTAAAAAAAAGAAAGTTCCCTTAAACAAATGTGCTCAACATTAGCTAGTTTTCTTTTCAATTGCCTCTTTCTTCTAAAAGTAGTGTGCTAAAAAATTAGAGGGATTGTGTTTCCCAGTTGACAGAGGATTAATTTTATGTAGGAATTGTCACACTTGTGTTTTGAAAGAAAAAAATAACTTCTTAAAAAGTGTCAGTTACACATTGGGGCTGTGCAATGACAATCATGTCTGGCTTCAACAATTCATTTTTTAAAAACAGCTGGGGGAAAACAGTGTTATTTCTTGTCCTGATATTTAAATATCAGCTGCTAGAATCAATAGGAAGGAGGGAGGCCAGGAAGAAGGAGGACAATCTTTGGAATACCCTGAATTCCAGTGATGACCCAGAATCTTATAGCATGTCATGCTTTGGGGATTTAAGTTGTCTGGAAAGCTGTGAGTCTCAGTTTTCCTGGGATATGGGACTTCGATGGATTTAGGAAACAGAATCTTTATATTTGTCAGACTTCTCAAACCACAATACTTTTTTGGCATTTGCCCAACATTTTAATTTAATAAGAATGTCTTGAATCTTTAAAAGTTTAGTATTTTTAATCTTTAAAAACATTATCTTTAACTAAAATATCTTTCCAAGTATTTGAAATAACATTTACATGATAATGTATTTCCTCCAGTTTGGAAGTTCCTTCCCTTTCCCCAGTGCCTCTCTGCCTTTGTCAAGGTTGGCACCTCTTGCCTTTGAAATATAGGAAAATTAACAAATCATGGAGCTAAAAGTAGGAGATGAAAGGGTATAGAGACAAAATATCTGACGGTGACAATCTTTAATTTCAACTGAAGCCAGTTCTATTCCCAAACCGTTCCCAAAATACTTTGTCTTCTGGAGAAATGTAGTCATCAAAGTCTAAACACAAACTGGGAGTAAAGGCTAAAATTTTATTCATTTAAAAATGCTACTTCACAGTGTATTTCAGCAACTAACACTTCAGATTAAATTGGTATATAGTTTAAAATATGCACCTATCTCTTCTTGTTAAAAAAATGCCTATGCACCTATTCTTAGTAGCTTTAAGGGAGGTTTGAATCAATGGGAACGACTAGGCTTTCTGGCAAGGCAGCTGTCATTCAATGAATCTTCTAGTTACTCGGTATTCAGTATGATGTGATCAACTAGAAATGAAATCAGTCAAGTAGGGCTTTGTATCTGGAGGCAAGGGACAGCAGTGAGGAGAAGTAGTTCCCAGGGGGATGATGATACGGACATGGAGGCAGGAGAGCAGGGTCCCTGGTGAGGGCTCCACCCTCATGCCTGGACCTGCGGCCCTAAATGAGAACAGGCATTCCTGTTTTTCACCCAAATGCTGCCTTTTGGCCTGCCACACTACCCTATCCTGTGTCCATATAAACCCCAAACCCCAGGTTCCACGAGCAGAAGGGTGGCAGAGTGGAAGAGCAGCAGAGCAGTACAGCAGAGAAGGAGAGAAGAGAGGAAGCATATGAACGTTGAGAGGAGTCTGGCTGTGGACAGTCAGAGAGATCAGCCGCAAGATGGCCAAACTCCAGGGGAAGATCATCTTCCCACTCCATCCCCTCTCCAGCTACCCATCCTGCTGAGAGTCACCTCTAACACTCAATAAAATCCTCGTATTCTCCATCCTTCAAGTCCATGTGGACTTGATTCTTCCTGGACACTGGACAAGAATTTGAGACATACTGGGTGCAGGAACCCAGAAAGGCCGTCACACTGAGCTGTTTAATACTTAAGCCATCCCCAGACAGCAGGACTAAAAGAGCATTGTAACACCCCTAGACACTGCCATGAGGCTGGAGCCCAAAAGCACTTGCCCTGGCTCCTGCACCTGCTCACCTGACTACTCCAATCCCGTAAGGGGTTTGAGCACATGATGGCAAATGTGTCACACACCTGTCACAAGTCCCATGAAGGGGTCCAGAAAACGCTCCTGTCTCAATGACAGGATGCAGGTAGTGTCTACCCTGCTTCTGCCCAGTGGGGACATCCATTTTCAGCTTAGATCCCAGTGAGGAAGTGACACTCCTGTCACAAAGATGGTAAACAGACTCTCCCTTTGCTCTGGTTAAGTGACAGATGCCACCCAAATGTAGGCAGAGTGCACAGAGAGGAAGAGAGAGAGCCTGGCACAGGGCAGCCATTCCTGAGAGAATAGGTAGAGAGCCAGCATTTTTGGTAGGCAGAGCTTATGGAGGTAATCAAAACCTTAACAATGCTACAATGAAGTCTCAATTCTGCTTTACACATAGAAATACAGAAGAAATCAGGGCCAGTACTGAGAGGGTGGAGAGGAACAGAGCATGGAGCATACAAAAGGAAACCAGCACATTGAAAAATAAAGAAGGGGTATCTCTTGTAGTGCCACTCAAGGTGTGGATTGGTGTGGGGCCACAGATTGCTAGTTACTAGTCTGCAATAAGAGAAATACAGAAATTTAGAGAAAGCATTTAGAAAACATTATAGGAATCTGACACTGTTGCAGAACCTAAGCATGGTCCCGAATTCTTATAATTTATCTTGTAGAGCTATCTGTTTGGGTTGAAGGTAAAAAGAAAATATAAGAGACATATATCTAATATTATTCAAGCCATACAGAAAGTCATGAGTCTGTTGAACAAGGTGCTTGGCAGAATGGGTATTTCAAAACAACTCGAACCATGTATTTCCTCTGCTCTCACACTGCAACAATCAACACAGAAGAGTTTTGTGACTAAATGTGGGGATTTTGGCCCACACATCAAGCAGCAGACAACAACTGGGTGTCCTCCAATTCAATTCCCACATAATCTACCTGGAGACAGTGTCAGATCCCACAGGGTTGTGGCTCATTCTTGCCCCTGCAAGATGGCTTCAAGTCGGGATTCCCATGACCCTCTCTCTGGGTTTGATTAATTTGCTTGAGCAGCTCACAGAACTCAGGGAAACATTTACTTACATTTACTGATTTATTATGAAGGATATTACAAAGAATACAAATGAAGAGACACGTAAGGTGTGGTACAGGTAAAGGAGTGCAGAGCTTTCATACCCTCCCAGGGTGTGCCACCCTCCAGGAGGAACCTCCAGATGTTCAGCTATCTGGAAGCTGCCTTCAATTCCTGTTTTCTTAGGTTTTTATGGAAGCCTCATGACGTCAACATTCCTTCTCCCAGGGTATGGGGCAGGACCCTTTCTGGAATGAGGGTCTTATGATTCACACTCAGAAAGATCAGGGAAGATTAGAGTCCTCACTAGGGGAAGGTGGAAAAAGGTCAGAAATATTCTGTTTCCTGAGGCCTAACATACCCAACATTATAACAAAAGACTATAACAAAGGTTATGGGAGTCATAAGCCAGGAACCCTGGATGAAAAAGTATATGTAAAACACCACAGTGGGTAGTTAGGAGTTAAAATAAGAGAAGGCATGACCCCAAGGGATAATAGTCAGGGTAGAAAAAGAGTGGACTCCTCCCACTGAACAGGATAGAAATCACTATCTGGCCCTTTACAGAAAATGTTTGCCCTGTTCTAGGCTGTTGTTTATCCTATTATTCCCCAATTTATCTCACGTTACACACAGTCACAATGTCCTCTCACATACAGTCTCTCTCCTTTAGACTTCACAGTGACCCATAAAAGTAGGCAGTTTTCCCCATTTTATAGATGAGGAAACCAAGGTATAGAAAGGTTAAATGAATTGCCCAAGATTATGCAACTGACTAAGAGGCAGAGATGAGACTCCAGTTCACATCTTCTGACTTCAAGTCTAGTGTTTTCCCACCTAGCCTCCACTCCTCAGGCTCCAACATGAAAGATATACACCTAAAATTACCCACTCCTTACAGAAAGCCATGCAGCTATTGAGGGATGTCCTTGCTTGAATGCATGGGTATTTAGAAGTTAAAGTAAGGACAGGCATGATGTCTTTCAGAGCATTGAAGAAACCTGGAAAGGTCTAATGGTGATAGAGAAACTGAGGCTCAGGTACTGGAAGACTTTTTTGACACTACAATGTCTCTGTTGCAACTACTGCATTCTGCCAATGTAGTGTCAAAAAAAATCTCCTATAATATGTAACAAATGCCTTAATCAAACTTTCGTTAACAAAACCAGGAAGTGGGCTGGTTTTGGTCCAAGCACCATAGTTGGTCAACCTCTGAACTAGAAGCCTAGAGACTTGAATTGTAATCCTAGCTCTGTTTTAATCTTGGTAGGTAACCTAGTCTAAGTTATTTCTAGTACCTGAGCCTCAGTTTCTCTATCACCGTTAGACCTTTCCAGGTCTCATCAATGCTCTAAAGACAGAAGAGTGAGGCAGAAGACAAGGAACCTTGCAAAAAGATTTTACTGAACAACATTTTGATTAAAAGCAAACATTATAGCAACACATAGGATAACAAGAAGAATTAATTGAGGTGTAAGTACATGGGTATGGATAGGATAAAGCTCAAAAACCTGCAAGGAATTGTGCAGCCTCCATAGTTCCCAAATGGATCAAACAGAGTGAAGGTGACACAGGATTGACTTCAACCTCTTTTGTTATCAGGAAATATCCCTCAGCCCAAAATCAGAGAGTGTCGTGAAACTCAGGGGCCTGAGCGTCTCTGTCTCCAAACCACATGAGCAGGGCTTAAGGCCTATGTGGAAGGGAACCTGTAGTGGAAGTTGTCAGTGTCCTGCTGGTAAGCCCTCAGTACTCACTTTGCCTGTAGGTGGATAGCTTCATGCCCCTAGCTCTCACAACTCTCCTTTTTTGGCCACAGGTACTTTTTTGCCTGCATGTGGGCAGATCAGACATGCTAGCAGTTGACCTTCTCATGAGGTTAACCCTCACCCAATGAGAGATGGGAGCTGGTGGATAAATACTCCAGCTCTCTTGCTTTTTGGACGAGCCAACTCTGAGATGTCTTCTACACTATTTCCCAGATATTCACACAAGGATTGAGTACAGTTTCCCAAGCAGTAAACTCATTAATGCATCTTTCATTGGCCCCTGTCTCTTGCCTGTCTTACTTTTTCCCTCCTTTACCAGCACTTCCTGAGATCAACTCTCCAATAGGTTACTTGCAGATGCCTGTGTTTTGGCTTCTGTTTCTTGGAGAATTAAAAAAAAAAAAAAGACAAAGCTCTTTAGGTATATTATCATTAAGAGATAACCAAAAGCTTTAAAAAATAGATTTCCTTCAGTTTCAGGACCATAAGAAAGTCACCTAAGTGCCAGAATAACAAGTCCATGCTTGTATGGTAGGCTTGCCAGCCTTCAAGATCCAAGAGGAATTGTCATCCATCCATCAATTATTTATTATCTATTCATCATTTATCCACTGAGCTAGCCAGCCAACCAGTTATTTTCTCTATCTACCTATTCATCAGACAAATATTGAGTTGCTGCTCTCTTTCAGATATTATGTTAATCACTGGGAACATGAAGATATTTGATCTTCACTCTTTGGAAGTTAAAAGTCAGTCCAATTGAACAAAGAATTAAAAGTTACACAACAAATGGATCAACCGAGATATAATGCACCATTTGGAGAGCGTAGAGCAAGAGTTGTGACTTTACGCTGGTTGTCTTTACCTTATTTTCCAATAATGTATAATTTGTTCCACAAACATTACCCAGGAATTGGAGTTACCTCTTCCCTCTGACTAAGTTCTTGGCTGAGGTGTCACCTGCTCCTCATATGGTCTCTCTTGTTTCTCACCTCCTCTCATTGTTATCAGGAACTTATTCCCTGAGCTCTAAACATCACACTGTAAAAATATATGAAATAGAATATATATTGGTATGAATGTCTTTAGAAAATATGGTCTGTCATATCCTTCTAGTGCTCCAGTGCCCAGGGGCTCTCATTCTATTCCCTGCTTCAAGGGAAGGCCCATGGCCTGCTATGTTAGTCCATTTTCTATTATGATAGCTGAATACCGCAGACTGGGTAATTTACAGAGAAAAGAAAGTTTTTTTCAGCTCATAGTTCTAGAGCTGCTAAGTTCAAGAGCGTGGCACTGGCATCTGGTGAGGGTCATCCCATGGCAGAAGGCTGGAAGGTAGAAGTTAGTGAATGAGACAGAGAGAGCAAATAGGGACTTAACTTACCCTTTTATGAGGAGCACATTCCTGTGATAACTAGCCCACCCTCCAATAATGATATTAGTCCACCTCTTAAAGGCTCTACCTCTTAGTACTCTTATAATGGGAATTACTTTTTTTTTTTTTTTTTTTTTTTTTTTTTTTTTTGAGACAGAGTCTCACTCTGTCACCCAGGCTGGAGTGCAGTGGCGCAATCTTGGCTCACTGCAAGCTCCACCTCCTGGGTTCATGCCATTCTCCAGCCTCAGCCTCCCAAGTAGCTGGGACTACAGGCACCTGCCACCACGCCCGGCTAATTTTTTGTGTTTTTTCAGTACAGACAGGGTTTCACCGTGTTAGCCAGGATGGTCTCGATCTCCTGACCTCATGATCTGCCCACCTCGGCCTCCCAAAGTGCTGGGATTATAGGCGTGAGCCACTGCGCCTGGCTGGGAATTAAATTTTAACATGAGTTTTGGTGGGAACATTCAGACCCTAGCATTCTATCCCTGGTGCTGTAAAACTCATGTCCTTCTCATATGCAAAATACATCCACTCCATCCCAACAGCCCCCACATTGTTAACTTGTTCCAGCATCAGCTCAAAAGTCCAAACTCCAGAGTCTCACCTAAATCAAATATAGGTGAGACTCTGACATAGTTTGGCTCTGTTTCCGCACCCAAATCTCATCTCAAATTGCAATCCCCATGTGTCAAGAGAGGAACCAGGGGGAGGTAATTGGATCACGGGGGTGATTTCCTCCATGCTGTTCTCAAGATAGTGAGTTCTTACCAAGAGCTGATGGTTTTAAAGTGTAGCACTTCCTCATTCTTGCACTCACTCCGTCTTGCAGCCTTGGGAAGTAGGTGTTTGCTTCCCCTTTGCCTTCCACCATGATTGTAAGTTTCTTGAGGCTTCCCCAGCCATGCAGAACTGTGAGTCAATTAAACATCTTTCCTTTATAAATCTTAGGTATTTATTTGTAGCAGTGTGAAACAGACTAATACAGACTCAAAGCATGATTTGTCCCAAGGTAAATTCCTCCAGCTATTGAGCCTGTGAAATCAAAACAATTTATCTACTTCCAAAATACAATGGTGGGACAGACATGGGATAGACCTTCCCATTCCAAAAGGAAGAAATAGGCAAAAAGAAAAGAGTAACAGGCCCTAAGTTAGTGTAAAACCCAAAAGGGCAGACATTAATTTTTAAAGCTGGAGAATATGATCACATGGGGCAAGAAAAAAAAAAAAAGGCTGGAGTCTTTGACTCCATGTCCTGCTTCCTGGGCACACTGGAGGGGTTGAAGTCTTGTGCCTGCAGCTATCCCAGGCTGGCATTGCATGCAAGTAGCTCTACAGTTCTGGGGTCTTTAGGGTTGCCTTAACCACATGCTTTCACTGAGTATTGCTCCACTAAGGGCTCTCTGTTGTGACTCTCCACTCCCACACTCGACTGTGGCAGGTGTCTGCCTAGGTTTTCACACATGGTTTGCAGCATCCTTTGCCATCCAGATAGAGGAAGCCATGCCTTCACAGCTGTTACATTCTGTACACTTGCAGAATTAGCACCACGTGAACAGTACCAAGGCTTACCATTTGTATCTTTCAGAGCAGTGGGTTGAGCAATATTTGAGCCCATCTGAGCCACAGCTGGGGCAGACAAGGGGTGCTACACCAGAGTGCAGGGAGCAGAGTAGCAAGGTGGCCCTGGACATTGAGCCTGCAGAGGGTACCCTGTTCCCATTCCCCAAAACCATTCTGCCTTACTAGAGCTTTGGGCCTGTGATGCAAAAAAAGGCAGCCTTGAAGATCTCTGAAATGCCTTCAGAGTCTTTCTCCCATTGTCTTGTTGAATAGCATCTGCCTTCCTTCTATCCATGCTAATCTCTTTAGCAAACAGTCATTTGGCCATACCCATGCATACTTTTCTGTTCCTTACATAGCCACGCTGTGAATTTTCCAAGTCTTTTCACTCTGCTTCCCTTTTAGTCATAAATTCTGTCTTTAAATTATTTCTCTCTTCTAGCATCTTACTTGAAGCAGTTAAAAGTAGCCAGGCAGCAGCAGCAGCCTAAATGCTTTGCAATTTAGACATTTCTTCTGCCATATATAATAGTTCATCACTCTTAAATTCCAAACCTTCCATAAAGCAATTTTAGGCTTGGATAAAGTTCAGCCAAGTTCTTTGCTACTTTACAACAAGAATGACCTTTGCTCTAATTTTTGATATCCTGTTCTTCAGTTCCATCTGAGACTTTGTCAAAGAGACTTTTACTGTCCCTATTTCTATCAACATTTTGGTCACGATCACTTAAGTCATCTCTAAGAAGATTCAGACTTTCCCTAGTCTTCTTCTGATCCCTCTTTATAATCGCTCTTAATGCTCCATTCACAGCAATGAAGGTTTTTCCAGCCTGCTTCCCCAAATTCTTACAGCCTCTGCCCATTACCTAGTTCCAAAGCTGCTTCCACATTTTTAGGTATTGTTATAGCAATGGCCCCACTTCTATGTATCATGCTGATACATGACTGAAGGTTCCTGAGGCCTCCCCAGCTATGTGAAACTGTGAGTCAATTAAACCTCTTTTCTCCATAAATTACCCAGTCTCAGGTAGCATCTTTATAGCAGTGTGAAAACAGGCTAATACAGCCTCCATGCCAGTCAAAGTCAAGGTGAATCTAGAATGGGGCTGAGTAAATAGCATGACCAACTGATATAGTTTGCCTGGAATGGTCCTGGATTTAGCCCTGAAAATCATGGGAAAACACGAGGATTAGTCATCCTGTCAGTGCGATAGCGTAGCACTCTGTTCTCTAGTTTCCTTTTTAATGCTGTAGTGGTTTAAGATGGCCACAAATTCTTTGATACTCCTCCATTGACAAGTGGGGTCCAGATTCCCTCCTCTTGAGTATGGGCAGCTCTATGAGTGTATAGAATACAGGGGAAGTGATACTGTGGCAGTATCTTGGCTCAGGCTTTAAGGCACTGTCATCGTCCGCTTGCCACGTCTTGGAATACTTTCATTTGGAGCCCTCAGCCACCATGTAAGAAGCCCAATTACTCTGAGACTGCAGTGCTGAAGTAGTCACACATGGGTACTCCTGTTCACAGTCCCAGCTGGGCACAGCCTTCCATCCAACACTGTGGCACCAGACATAGTGAAACTGTCTTGGATATTCCAGATCAGAATCACATGAATACCACTAGTGAGGTCACCAAGTGATCTCAGTTGAGGTCATATGAAATAAGAGAATTGCCCCACTGAGTCTTAGTCAAATTTTTGGCCACTAAATTATCTTATAAGGTATAATAAAATGGTTGTTTTTTTTTTTTAAGCCATCAGGTTTGGGAATGGTTTGTTATGCCATAGAAGATATCTGAGGCAAATGCTAAAACTGGCCTAAATAAACCATACGTATTTTTTCTACTTGCTATTATAAGCAATAGCCTGTCTTCAGATAATGTTCTGCATAAGATCTATGCCATCTTTGACTGACTTCAGCAAGCCTTTTCTGAATGGGCAAATAGTATAAGGGGAGATGAGATGCTGGCTTTGACTACCTACATCCATTCTTCCTGTGTCCTTAGCACACCACCTTGGCACACTTCCTTCCCTGTGAATTGGCTCATCTCTGTGCCATGTGCTTCAAGGTCTACTTCTTGGTGGGATGCACATCTTTCATTCGTCTTTGGCGGTTTTTTGGCAGTAACAAAGGGCACCCCTCAAGGCTGCAGTCTCCACCAGTGAAATCTCATACACCCTCACATTCATCTAGAGAAGAAACACTTGACTGCTCCTTTCCAATTTGGCCCCATGATTGGAAACATGATTGATGAATCTGTAGATTTCTGGAGAACAAGGGCTGTGTTTTAAATGTTCTTGGGTTCTGGTAGCTTCTCTTTGGATGAATGAATATATTCTCACTATTGTGGCAGTATCAGGCAGCTTTGCTTCTGCTACTTCCCTTGCCTGATCTTTTCACTTTTAGTGTCTTTTTGTTTCTAGGAAAGGTAGTGTTGGGGTTCAGAAAATGACTCCCCAAAGTATCTGCCTTGGCATGCTGAGTACTTCGAACTAAAGGAGATTGGAAGGCCTCAGAAGCAGAGTCTCTCTTTGACCTTCTTCTGCTCTCCTTGTCTCCTGCCCCTCTTTCTCCTCCAAAGCAAGTCATAGCGAGTCAAAACTTAGAAATGTCACTCTTTTTCTTCTCTCTTGTCCTTTGAGGACCCTGATTCCAGGGGGTCCTGCCCCATACCTGGGAGGAAGAAATGCTACAGAGAGAGATCAAGAAGAACATAAACAGACAGGTCTTGCTGGGTCCCCGCTGACCTGACAGTCTATTACCATTAGATAATATCCTTTTTATCCAATCACATTTTATATGATTGTCCATTCTTCATAAAAATCTAACCACAAAAACAGACAGTTTTCCATGTGTCTTTGGGTCTACATTTCTGAAGTCTCCTGTATCATGTACAATTTTGATAAAATAAATTTGCTACGTTTTTCTCTTATTAACCTGTTTTTTGTTACAGGAGTGTTGGCCATGATCCTTATAATGCATGAGGAAAGGTAGCACCCCTTTTCATCTTTACAGTAGGTCTCAAGAAAGAGCAGAGTCTACGGTTGTTAGCAGAGGATTTTAAAGTAAAAAGGGGTGAAAGGATTTTGCATCATTTTGAGACTCCTCAGTTCTCACTGAATAATTAGCTTCTGATTCTCTTCCTACTTAAACTTTTGAATGTTCATGGATTGTGGAAAAGGAGAAGGTGACACAAATGCTCATTTGTGATGCATAGAGGTGGCAGAAGGAAATGTCAGGGATCAGGCTCACAGAAGCAGCTGATGGGTGTCAGCTCTGTGGGAACATGCTACCTAAAGAATCTCAGAATGTTGGAGCTGTAAGGGACTGGTGGGGAAAAGAAGTATAAGAACATGGTGATATTGATGGTTGGTGGAATTAGGATAAGTACTCTACATCCCAGTCAAATGCCCTTGAACTATACCATCTTATAACAATGTGGCTTTCTCGGTCAGGATGGTGGTCCACATGCATTTGTCTTCCCATTCTCTCTCTGAATTCTATTGAAATTATGACACAGAAGTTCCAGAGGAAATAAGCCCCCAAGAGTGTGGAGCGTGGGAGTGAGTTATTAATGAATGTCTGGATGGCAGACAGTGAATGGGAGCACACTGACAGGTAAACAGATGGAGGAACCCACCACTGCCAGAATGAAGGCTGCAGCTCAGCCTGGAGCTCATCTCCCCCAGGGTCCCAGTAATATTGGAAGTGGAGAGTCACCAGGTAGAAAGAGCTAGTGTGGGAGGTGGGATGGTAAACTGTGGAGAAAGTGTAAATTGGAAGATTGCCTGTGGCAAAGCTATGCAAGTTTCCCTGCCCCCACGACTCACATGCATAAATGCTCCCCTCGCCCACCCATGGAGCTGCAGGAGAACTAGCAGCTAGGGGTTCATCTCCAGGACAAACGTGGGAGCACTGTCGGCTAAAGATATCACAAGAGCTCCTTGGGGAGAGAGCAGGAGCTTCCAAAGTGGGGGGCTGGTGTCTCACTGCAAAGCCCTTCTGATTCTCAGAGGGGGTTTTCATGATCTCATATCCTAAAGTGAAGCTGCCGTCAGATGACTATATGCTCTCACATTTACCGTGAAGCCTCTTAGAAAAGGACCGACACAACTGAGGAAGGAGTCACCAGCCATTTGCATTAGTCTGCATGAGCCTTTATATTTTAAGATGAATGGGTGACCAAAAACTCTTAGCCCTTTGCAAGCAACCATTTGCACAAGAAAGAGAAACAAAGAGGAAATGATAGAAAAACTGAGTATGGAGAAGTGAACATTGAAAAGCAATCCCTATTTCAGCCAGTGAGAATATTTACAAAAAGAGAAAGCAATCAGGAAGTGAGAGTTCTTGGATATTAAAAATGCTTGCTATACATCAAAATAAGTAATGATGGTAATGAAGTATAACTCACTGAATGAAATAAGAGTCCATGAGTCTGCACAGACTTTAAACAGATGGACAAGTAGAGAGATATAGAGAGAGACAGAGAGATAGAGAGTTATAGAGAGAAGGAAAAGAACTTCCTAACAGTGGAATGACAATGAATAACTATAGAATAAATGATGGAATTAGAAAATCCTTATTTTGCAAACACTGTAGTATTAATTCATTCAGGCAAGAATCATTTATGGATATTAAAACTCATGTGTAAAAGTGTGATAAGGAATAAGATTTTTATCACCCCACAAATTACTTACAAAATTACAAAAGGGAAATAGTAATTCAACAATGACAAAAGCTGGTAGTTACCACTTGAACTAAGTGATCAAAGTCAACATCACAATAATGAGTCAACATCATGTGCCTCTTGCTATGCTGTACAAGGAAAGATATAGTATCACTCTGTGATATTCCTGTTACAAATGCACAGTCTGAATCTAAGCACAAGGAAACATCAGACAAATCCATATTAAAGGACACTTTGCAAAATAAATGGCTTGTGTTTGCCCACAATTTCAACATCATGAAAGACAAAGAAAAGGTGAGAAACTGTACTAGATTAAAGAAGACTGAAGAGACAACCAAAACTAAATGTAAAGCATGATCCTGGATTTAAACCTAGACCAGAAAAAAAAACTATAAAAGATATTTTGAGATAATTGGAAAAATTTAAATAAATCTGCAGATTAAGCAATAGTGTATCAATTTAAGTTTTCTGTTGTCGAAAATTCACATTGGAGTATTTTAGTGGGAAAGCGATTCAATATTTGCAATTTATCCTCAAATGTTCAGAGTAAGAGAGAAATAAAGCAAATGTGACAAAATGTCAACAATTAACAAACCTGGGTAAAAGGTAAAAGGTAATTCTTTATACTATTCTGGCTACTTTTCTGTAATTTTAAAATGGTTTCCAAACAAAAACTTTTGCAATAATGTCAAAAGGCAAGTAAAAACTGAGAATAAATATTTGCAACATATATTACAGATAAAAGAGAATTCCTGTCCACCAATCTATGTACATGAATATACATAAAGAGCTCTTAAAAATGAAGGAAAAAGAAAGTAGAAATCTAACTAAAAAATAGATAAATGACATGTGCAGACAGTTCACAGAAAAAGGTTTACCAAAGGCCCTTACATTTAAAGAAATGCTCAACTTTACTCATCTTAAAAGAAATGTTAATTAACCGTACTGGTGTACCGTTTTATCTATTAGATTAGTGAAAGTTAAGAATTTTAACAACTGCCTGTTGTCAAAACTGCTGGGGTATCAGGCACCAAAATATATCATTCTGGGGACTGCAAAGTGGTGGGATCCCTATGGAGGGGAATTTGTCAGTATCTAATAAGACCACTGTTCCTACCCATTTAGCCTTTGATCCAACAATTCTGCTTTAGGCATTTATCCTGAGAATATATTTCTAAAAATATGAAACAACATTTTACAAGATTATTCATTATAGCACTAATTATAATACTAAAAATACTGGAAACAACCTAAATATCCGTTGTATTATTTTTCCAGGCTGCTGTAACAAAATACCACAGACTGGGTGGCTTGAACAGATGTTTATTTTCTCACAGTTCTGGAAGCTGGGAAGTCCAAATCAAGGTGTCAGGAGGATTGGTTCCTCCTGAGACCTCTCTCCCTGTCTTGCAGATGGCTTCCTTCTTGCTCTGTCCTCACATGGCCTTTCCTCTGGTGTCTCTTCCTCTTTTCATAAAGAAATCAATCTATTGGATTAGGACCTCACCCTTATGTCCTCATTTAACCTTAATTACCTCTGTAAAGGCCCTACCTCCAAATATAGTCACATTCTTGGGTAAACGGGACTAGGAGACTTCAATATATGAATTGGGGGAGGGACATAATTCAGTTCATAACACCCATCCACATGAAAGTGATTTGACTAGACCATGAGATAGTCACACAGTGCAATACCATGCAGCTATTAAAGAAAAAGATATGAGGAAATGCTCTTTGAATTGATATAGGACTATTCTTAGATGATTAAAAAAAAACCCAAGAGGCGAAATATTCTATATGTTATCTAAGAGAGAAGTGTGTGTGTGTGTGTGTGTGTGTGTATGTATATGTATATAGACATATATGTATGTATAGGTATATAGACATACACACACATATGCTGTACTGAGAATAAACTTATATGTCTATGTATATATGAGTACGGGGAATACTCAGAGGTTATATACATACAGTATGTGTGTATAATCTCTGAGTATTCCCAGAAGATTTTCTATTTGTAGCAATCAAATTGGGTTACTGACTGCTTATAGCAGCAGTCTTTTAACATGTAGTTCTTTCTAATTAATGAATCAATTAATTACTTTCTGTAGCTTAATTGAACTTAGAACTGTGAACTGTGAGTCTTAAAACTTAATTCTAATTAACCAAGATTTTATTGATCTAATGTTACTTCTAATTAGTTGTCATTGCCACATATACTAATATTTTTTAAAGGACTTGGGGATGTAACTTGAAAGACAGTATTTTTAGGACTTAGGAATGCCTTGGTTTGCAGGTAACAGAAAACTTCACACTTCACTAGAAGTTGCTTAAACAAATGGAGGTTTATTTTCCTCTGTAACAAATGTGTCATATATCAGCAGCCCAGGTGAATGCTAAATGTAGACAGACTATATCTTTCCACTCAGCCATTCTTAGCATGTGAGCTTGTTGCCTCATGATCACAAGATAGGTCTGCTGCAGTTCCAGGTATCATATCTGTATTTCACACACACACACACACACACACACACACACACACACACACGATGGAACAGTGACATCTTAACTCTGTCCCTTTTATCAGGAAAATCAGGAAAGCAAAAACATTCCTAGAATCCCCCAGTGAGCTTTATCTTACATCTCTTTGGCTAGAACTAGTCATGTGGCAACTTGTACCAGCAAAGAAGGAGTAACAGTGGAAACAATGTTGTCATGGCTGACATTAACCAATCAAGATTCACCACCTGTGGCTCAGCACATTGCACTCAACTTCTAGAGAAGGAAAAAGTGAGAGACTGTTCTTTTCTCAGTGCAAATCTATCTTTATTTATCTCTGCCTGTCACCTTATTTTTTTCTGTCTTTTTACTTTTTTAGCTAGCTAGTGAGCCACTTTTAATTCCTCTTACATCTGTCTTCCCAGTATGCATTTTTAGGGACCCTCTTTCCAGCCAGTCCTGCAATAACTCTGCCCTCCTCGCTCAAATCCACGTCTATGGCATATTCTTATTACATAGATAACCCTTTCTAGTTTCTGTAGCAACAGGGATAATTCAAACATAACCAATAAAACATCAAAATGATTTGTTGAAATCCCACAAGTTTTCATCGGACAAAACAGTGTTGTTGGAGCTGGCACTAAAATAGAAAGACTGATTGGTGATTGTTGTCTACATATGGATTCCCCAAGAAGCCCTGGGACCAGGAATTGAGTGCAAGTAGTTTATTTGGGAGATAATCACAGAGGGCACTGGTGTGAGGAAGTGGGACAGGAAAAGGAAGGCTTCAATGAAAGGTACAAGATGAAGCCAGTTATCACTGAGGACAGACCTAGAAGTCAGTATAGACCATGCCTCCAGGGTCATCCCACCTGAGGGCAGAAGGAAGTGTAGTATTTATCCTTCAACTCTTGTTGTTGGGCTGCGGCATGGGGATAGGCATTAATTCACTGGGACTTGTGTCTTCCTAAGTTTGGACAGAGTGGGCTCCAACCACACAAATAAGCCCCTAGGTGGCTGGAAGTCAGGCAGTTGTACACTACAATGGTAAGGCCAAGGCACAGAATATGCCTTGGAATTGTCCCACTGTGGAACAGGGAAGCTGGGTATTTGTTTGCCAACTCTAACCCTCATTGGTTAAGAAATGCTTCTGGGGTTGGTAAATCCCCAGCACTTCCAGGCTGCCCTGAGCATAGCTGAGCAAGACCCACACTTGTGCCACAGAAAGCTCTTCCTCAGGCATGGAAGCAGAAAGGCTCAGGCTTGAAGAGGGAAGCTGTCAGCATGCATAGAAAATTCACGTTGCAGCTTTAGGGAAACTTAAGTTGGACTGATGGGATATGAGACTGGTAGGATGTGGAGGGTTTGCTACCCACACCATCCTGTAATTAATTCCTCCCTTACAGGTAGTCATGTGACACTTTACAAATTCCTTCATGATAGCCCTGATTACTCCATACTTGTTTGTTTGTGTAGTATGTATTAAGCACATCATATGTTTCTGTTTTGCATTCAGTCCTCACAACAACTCAAGAGGCTGGTACTATAATTATCCTCATCTAATAATGAGAAAACTGAGTCACAGGGATTAACTAATTTTTTGTTTATGTGCTTATTTCTGCTTCCAGACCATGAGCACGTGAAAGGCATGGTCTTTGTGGTTTTTTTTTTGTTTGTATCCAACACACTGACTGGCATTTCAGGAGTTTGTATCCAACACACTGACTGGCATTTCAGGAGTACTTGATACATATTACTTGAGTCAGGTTATTCAGAAGACTCAAAGTCACAATGGAACATGGAAAGAAGTGCATGGCTTTAACCAATGCCATTTTTAGAACTGCTCTTCAATAATTAATCAATTTGGTGGCAAACAGGGTTTCTACTAACATTTCTAGAAGTGGGCATCAAAGATTTGTCAAGAAAATGAAGTTATTTTAATTGTTAATTTTCAAAAACAGAGAGGACAATATTTTAAAACTTTATCCTATTCTGTTTTATTAATCTTGAAATGTTTTATTTTATCTCATTTGTGGATTTATCTTGTGGCCAACGCTCAAAGCATTGCTAAAAGTGGACGTTGCTCAGTCAGAATAGGCTAATATGTGATGCTGTAACAAGCAACCCTAATATCTCAGTGGTTTCAAAGAACAAAGATTGACTTACACTCACACTCATGTCTGCTTTGTGTTAGCTAGGAGCTCTGATCTGTGTCATCTTAATTCTGGGACCCGGGTAGATGGAGCATCCACTGTCAGGAACATTGGCGGTTGCCAAGGCAGAAGGCAAGAACATTATGGAGGAGATCATTCTGGCAGTGAATTTCTCAACCTGGAGATGACAGACATCATTTCTGATTACAACTCACTTCCTAGAACTAATCACATGGCACCACTACACCATAAGGAAGACTAGAAGTGCAATCCTGCTGTATGTCCTGAAGGAGAGGAGTCTGGACATTGATAAACAGTACTAACAATTAACATAAGCACTCATTTTCATCATTATTTAGCCTGACACTGATTGGATAGTCTCCAGCACCTCTTCCCTGCTCTCCAACTTCCTCACAGCAACCACTATAATATTTCTCAAATATGTTATGTCATAAAAAATAAACAAAACCCCTTGATATACCTTCATTGCTACCAGGGTAAAATCTGCCTTGTCCTTGACAAGGCCCCCATGACCTGGCCCCTGCTGACTGTACTGCCCTGCTCACGTGTCTGTTTATTGTATATGCTGTTCATCCCACTAGAATGAGGTACAAGTCTTCCTCTTCCCTTCTTCCCCCCTCTGCTTTGCAGAGTGTCAGGAGATTAATTTTCAGCCTTGCCTAATGAGACAGTGGGTTGGATTGGCAGATCTTACTACAACTTTGTCTATAAAAGATACACTTGAAATTTTCTTAAATTCTAGGAAGTATAGGCATTTTTTCTTTTCTCCTTTCCTTCCTTTTTTCCTTTCTACAAATATTTATTTGAGTATCTACAAGGCCTCCTGATGGGTCGTGGGAATATAAAGTTCATCCAGACATGGTCCCTGCCCTCATCCAGCTTATGGTTTGGTGGGGGAGACATATTAATCACACTGCATAAGTTTGAATTAGATTCAGATACAAGTTGAAATAAACTAAAATGAAGATGAGTTACACAAGATAGAAGGTTACTTCTCTGTCATGTCACTGTAGGTAGACCAGTGTTGATACTGTGTCCCACAGTGTTAGTGACTCAGGTTCCTTCTGTCTTGTTGTTCCTTATCCCCAGCATGTGGCTTCCACTTCATGGTCCAAGATAATGGCTTAGTCTCCAGCCATCATGTATTCCAGCCAGAGGAAGGAGAAAGGTATAATGAAAGGCATGTCCTGGAAAATGAACACACCACTTCCACTTACAAATCTTTGGCTGTAGTTTAGTCACACCTCCACACTTAGCTGTAATAGGGGCTTTTAAGTCATGTGCCCTGTTAAAAACTGGGGCTTCTGTTACCAAGAAAGAAGGTGAAAGCAGGCAGAGGGACCAGGCTTGGTCTAGAAGATTAGTTTTAAAGAGAAACTTAAAAAGAATTGAGATCTGAAAAATAGGTAGGCTTTAACCAGGGGAAGAGTGACCAGGAAGAATAAACATCATGTGCGAAGGACCTGTGGCAAGAGGGAGCCGGCCTGTTGGAAGGACTAGAAACAAACAAGCAAACAAAATTCCATAGTATCTGAAGTACAGAGGAGGAAGGAATGTGAAGCAATGTGAAGGAATGTAAACGTCCCCTATGCAGTCAGGGGACAATGTTGCACAGCCTTGGAGGGCTTATTAGGGATTGTGATCTTCACTCTAAAAACAATGGTATGTCATTAAAGGTCTTTAGGAGGATAGTATGATCAAATTTACATTGTAACTTGTAGGAAACAAATTAGAGAGGACAAGAGTGGATGTTTAAAGACCAGAGACCTCCAGATGAGAGATGAATGTAACTTGATCTAAGATAATGCTAGGAAAGAAAATAAAAATGAGAGGAATCAAGAACTATTTTTAGAAGGCAAACTCAACAAGACTTAGGCATGAATTAGTGTGGGAAGGTAGTGAGGAAGAGAAGGAGGAAGGGATAAGAATGGAGCAAGAAATAAGAAATGAATTTAAGAATATTCTTTCTTAAATATGAAAATGAAAATTGGCATTCAGGCAATGCAAGGGGATCTCAGGATACTTGTGCAACATAGCACACATAAAGTACTATAATTTAAAATCACTTGAGACATGATGTTCATATAGGTCAATTATAAGTTGTCTCTCTTAAGATTTATTTTAAGAAGTACATCTAGTCTTCATGATTTACATTAAAATTATTTATTTAAAATTATGTTGTTGCTGTTAAGATTTATTTGAAGAAGTACATCCAGTCTTCATGATTTGCATTAAAATCCAAATCCATTTTGCTTTTGGTTTAATATTTGCTATCAGTTTCACATTGTAGGAATTTAAAAAAAATCCACTCTATTCTAGAGGCAGTACTGACCCTCCAAAACGTGTAATGTGGTCTCTACAGATTTTGAAGTGATGAAATCTCCATTTCCTCTGCAGCCCTCTCAAGTTCCTCTTAAAGAGGAAGTGAAAGTTAACTCCCAGTTCTTCCTGGGCACAGGAGGACAGCTGACTGGAAAGAATATATATAAATGGATTATATTCAAGAGTGCCTTAGATAAAGGAAATACCAGTCATTCATCCTACAAAATTTATTTGGCACTATCCTGTGTCAGGCCCTAGGCATAACTGGAATGGTCAGACTAGACAAACTGAGGCTGTCAGAAGGCATCAGGAAGAAAAAAATCATGATGCAAACTATCTGCTTTCCTTTGTCTTGAGATTAACCAGTAGTTTCCATAACTCGGTGTGCATCTGATTTTTTTGTTACAATTACAAAAATAATTAACTTTAATTTTTACACTTAGATGCAATGCTAAGGGACTGTTTGGACCACAATTTAGTCTCTGCTTTGAGTATATTGAAAATAGCCCAAAGTAGCTGTCAAGGCATAAACAACTCAGGAGGAAAGCATCGCTGTGGTTTTACTGAACAGATGGTCTGATGACGTCAGTGTCTCCAAATTACCTGCAGCCAAAGCAGATGGAAAAATTAACATCGAAGCCCAAGCTTGATGGCAGACAGGGAGTCACAGAGAACTTCAGGGGAGAAAGTCACATGGGATGATTTCTTTGCTTTGTTTTCAAGCTCTACGAGGAATCTTTTTCTCTTCCCAAATTCCTTGAATAAAATCACAAGAATTATTACAGTTGGTCCCACAAACAACCACCACGAAGACAGGGCTGGAGGACATGGCATTCAGTAATGCCTCTGCCACTAAAAAATAATATTGATTCTAAAAAGAGATTATTAATTGTGTAAAAGCGTTGTGTAGCTGAAAAGAAACATCTCAGCGCTACAATTGAATATGACAGTTCTTGGAAAATCATCATAATGGCTGCATATTTAGCTCTGGACACATTGTATTTTGAGAGATTTACATTCCATTTTTCTCCAAAAGGCTGCATTACAATTAACATTTTCACCTAGGACTGACTGCCCAGCACTTTATCTCTGTCGATCTTATTTCCTTGTTTAGCGTTGTGTTTTCACCTTTTCCTGCATGCCAGTGTCTGGGTCTTTATTTCCATTATGCAAAGTTGTCAGCTGCATAAAGTGATGCATTCCAGCCTTAACTATAGATCAGCCAATCTGTGCTGGATTATCTTGAGCTCAAGATCTAAAATCTGAGTCAGAATCATAGAGCTTTCTGTTTACAAATGAAGAAGTAGGTATTCAAGTTTCCATACTTGTCTGTGAGCACAGAGTGGGGAAGTGGCTGAAGGCAGAACAAGAACACAGGGGTCCACTTTCTAAGGCCTCGTGGCCTTTATAGCTCTACAAACCCCAAGTGTCCCTAACTCTTCTCTCTCAAGGGATACAGACTCTGATATAACTGGATTCTATGCTCCAAACTCAAAGGGAATGCAGTAGAAGCTGAAAAACGAATTTTTTGATGTATTTTTCTAGAACACTATTGTCTAATTTTCATGGCAGCCTAGCATGGTGCAAGGTTGTCTTGGTTTAAGTTCCAGGAAAAAATACCCAGCAAGAAGAATCTGAGTACAAGAAATTTTGGGGAGAGATGGTCCCAGGAAGCAAAGGAGGGGAAGAGAGGAAGCAAGACAAGGAAGGGGAAAAATAAGCCTCAGAGTCATCCCAACCAAGAGGCAAGGGAGATGGGGTATGTATCCTCCAACTCTCATCTGTCATTATATGAGAGCTGTTTCCAGGGGCATTAACTTCCTCTGCTTCTGAGACTAATGGCCTGCCTCACTGGGGTGAGAGAAAGCCCTCAAGTGGAGCGTGGCAGATGCTTGCAACAGAAGGCAGTGGAAAGATGTGGGGTGTGGGCAGAGCATGGGCAGCAGTTGCTATAGTCAGATATCGGCTCACATCTGTATCCATTGACTTGCTGGATGGTCTCAGACAAGGTACTTTCCTTCTCTAATTCTAAATTTTTTCATCTGTAAAATGGGGAGAACAGTACGATCATGTAATATTACGAGCAGTAAATGGAATGATAATCCAGGTAAAGTGCTTAGCACAATGCTTAACACAGAGGAGGCCCTTGATATGGGGCATTATTATCATTGTTTGTTTTCTTGCCTGCGTTAAGTGCCTGGGGAAAAAATGAAATTTAGAATCACATCAGGTGCTACAGCAGATAGAGCCCTTAGGTCGACCTCCAGATTTCACAGCAGAGGAAGCTTGAGGATGAGGGAAGTGGCTGTCTGTCCCATGAAAAAAATCTTCTATTAGAGTGTGGCAGAGCCAGACCTGTACACTAGAGCATCTGGTTCTATGTGCAGTGCTCTTTCCAGCACCCTGAACTGACTCCTTTAGAATTATTTGTAGAATATAGATCTAGGAGGAAGAGTGAATGATCATTGTGTTCTGGATGGCAAAAATGTTTTCCTCACAACTTGCAGTGGCAGTCTGTGTGGCTGTGTTGAGAAAGATTCTGATGACATGGTACATGAGGTAAATGTGTGTGATTGGATTACCAATGTCTGCCATTGATCTGGGAGCGCACTGGCTGGGTATACACTGATCCTGTTGGGGTTGAAGTTATTAAGAAAGTTGACTGCTGGACTTGAATTTAGCACTAAGGGAACAAGATAACCATTTTGTTTGTTCATTTTATTGCAATGATAATGCTTATTGATCATAGAAAAATTTTAAAGATATAAACAAGTATGATGGTTAATACCAAGTGTCAACTTGATTGGATTGAAGGATGCAAAGTATTAATCCTGGGTGTGTCTGTGAGGTTGTTGCGAAAGGGGAGATTAACATTTGAGTCAGTGGGCTGGGGAAGGCAGACCCACCCTTAATCTGGATGGGCACCATCTAATCAGCTGCCAGCAAAAAACAGGCAGGAAAACATGAAAAGGTTAGACCGGCCTAGCCTCTCAGCCTACGTCTTTCTCCTGTGCTGGATGCTTCCTGCCCTCGAACATCAGACTCCAAGTTCTTCTTTTTTTGGAACTCGGACTGACTCTTCTTGCTCCTCAGCCTGCAGATGGCCTATTGTGGGACCTTGTGATCATATGAGTTAATACTTAATAAACTCCATATATATTCCATTAATTCTGTCCCTCTAGAGAACCCTGATTAATACAATGAGAAAATAAAAATTACCTCTAAGGTGTAGCAAAGAGGATAATTGATCTCTGGGACTGATTCAGAGTAAGGAAGAAGGCTGAAAAACAGAAATTAGTAATTGAAGACCTTTATAAGGAGCCATTGGCTCCTCCACATCTGGATGCAGAGCAATATAGGCAGCCAGGCATTTAGTCAAAGGAGCAAGGAAAACAGAATGAAAGAAATTTTAAAAAGCTAAATCTCCTCAAATTGACCTCTAAATTCAATGATACCAAGCAAAACATCAACAGGATTTTTCATAGAACTAGAAGCTGACTCTAAAATGTGTCTGGAAGAGTGAGGGGACAGAGTGAAAGCATTTCTGAAGAAGACTGGGGAGAGGCTTACCTTATGGATAACCCAAGTTATTATGAAGCTACTGGAAGGAAGACAGTGCTGAACTGGCACAGCAGTAGAGAAAGTGACCAATGGAGCATAAGGCAGTGTTCCCAAACAGACCTATGTATACATGGAACTCTGATAGATGGTAGAGGCGGCTTGGCAGTTGGGAGAGGAGGGACTGTATGTTAAGTGGAGCTAAAAATGTGCTCATCCATATGGATAGAAGTGAAACTGGACTCCTACCTCACACCATACCCTGGAATTGCTCCAGACAAATGAAAGTCTTTAATAATCAAAGCAAAACTTTAAAATTATGAAGAGAAAGTATAGATCAATATTTTTGGACCTTGGGGGAAGGAAAGCATTTCTTATTTAAGACATGAAGAGTGCAGCTGTGAGAAAATCTCAGTCAGGCCAATGCAGAGCCCTAGAACAGAAGTGTCCCAAACCTGGTATCTTCACCATGCTCAATCATTGCCTGGGGCAGCCTGAAGACACTGTGGCCACCAAGAGGACACAAGTGATTTCCAGGGGTGTGGCAGATGAAGGCCATCAGCTAACAGTCATCATCCCAACAGGTTCTCTCTTGAGGGAAATGTGAGTGGCTCATCCCCATGGCTGCCACATGCCAGGATTGAGGAAATCTGGCTGTAGGATTGAGATAACCATAAGTAAAACAACTCCAAAGCCCTACATTTGGATTAATTACTTCAGGGACAAAAGATCATGACATGCGGGTTCTTGTTAGCTTCTTTTTTGGAAAATGGCTCTTTCTGAATCTGTCCCTAGATTTGAGTGTCTACCTTACATTGGACACAAGCTCTTTGTTCGCTGACTTATTGCATGATTCTCCAGCAGTCATTGGCTGTGTGACAACATTATTTTTACTTTATGCAACGACTGAAAGATTTGTGAAGTGAAAGTGGAAGATTGGGAAAGCACAGTCCAAGAAGGTGTGCATGAGGCGAGGTGAGGGAATTGTGGTGGATTATGTCATGGACACAAAGTATCCCATAGCGGTATGCATAGACCTTTGCAATGTGACTTTGCTGCTCCTCCATCCAAAGGTGGAGTCTATACTCTCTTCAAACTGAGCTGGCCCTGTGACTTGCTTTGACCAATAGAATGTGGTGGAAGTTATATTGTGCAGATTCTAGAGCCCAGACTTCAAGAGTTTGTGCAGCTTCTGCCTGTTCTCATTTGGAACCCTGCCCTGTGGCCACTATATGATGATGAAGGCCAGATGAAAGACCACACAGAGAGAGACGTCCAGAGCCTAGCTAACCTTCCATAGTGAGCCCAGGTAAGACCAGCAGAGAAACTACCCAGTCACAATTCACTATCATAAGAAATGACGGGTTCTTACTGTTTTGAGCCACTAAGTTTTGGAGTGGCTTCTTAACGACATAATAGACAACTGAAACAGACATAATCAAGGTCTTGAATGCACTCTTAATATAGAAAAGTAGGGTAATCATAAGAGGGTGGAGAGTTATTTATTTATCTTTCGAACATTCAGTGGGCATCCAGTATATACCAGGCACCTTTGTATGTATCTCATTTAGTCTTTCTAATAGCCTTATGAGATAGGTGCCACCACATAGATGTGGATATTGAGGCACAGAGGGATGAAATAACTTGCCCAAGGTCATGTGGCTGGAAAGTAGCAGGTCTGGGACCTGACTTTATGTCTTTCTGGTTCCAAAGTCCCTGCTCATGACCACATCTCTACACTGCCACTGGCACTTAAAATGAACCCAGTGAAGAATACTAAAAAATAAACAGAAATAGGGAAAGAACACTCAAGCTTTATAACTCCTGCTTTCTGTGTTTATTTCATAGCTAAAGATGAATTTCTTTGAGAAGGGAAGAATGATTTTTGAGATGATGACTTGCATTCGTATTCAGACTTCTGTTTCAGGAATTCCTTCTTTGAATTATTAATGTAAAAAAATGGATGTTCTAAGACTGACCAGGGTTGCAAGAAATAAAAGGACTGGAAAATTCAAACACACTTCTGAAAAATAAATGGACTTGCATTTATTAATAATTCCTATCAAGGCAGAATGCCTTCTAAAGCAATCATTGACATTCATTTATTCATTCATTCAACACAAATATGTGGAGTACTTACTAAGTGCCAAGCCTTGTGCTAAGCACTAGAGATAGGAAGGCAAACGTGATCTGTTTCTAGCACTCAATGGCTATGTAGTCTAGTTAGAACACAAAATTAAACAAAAGCCCAACACATAAATTTTCTTGTCATTTTCCCCAAATTTGACGGAAAAAAAATCAATGATCTAAGAAAAAAAAGTTACTTTGCATTGATTTTCTAATTAATGTGATAGAAGTGCAAAAATTCAGCCACCCTCACCAATCTCCTATAGAACCAAAGACTATATAGTTACATACCACATGTTTATTTCATTTCTGATAAATGCTAACTACTCTCCCAAATTTGTCATCTAGAACTTGGTAGGAATTTCTTTCTGCATGGAACCGTAAAGGAGATTCATGCTATAGATGACTATAGAAGAAAAGAACTCAGAAATTCCTGTAAGGCAATGAGCTTCATTCCATCTCTTCTTTTGTGCCTCTTGGATTGCACATTAACACTGTAGCTTAGAACTGTATCGATATTTGAAGACCAGCATTTTAAAAATGAGAACCATATTAGAAAATTGGCTCCAGAGTCGAGTTCTACAGTCATGGGCAGGGAATGTTCTGGCCTCTGCTGAGTGGGTTTGCATGTGTTCCTTATCTTCTTTGTGCCTTGCCTTCCTCCCTATAAAATTAAGGTCCGTGTGGATGAGCTAATATCCGGGATCTTCCCCAGAGTAAAACTTTACGGTTAAAGCACCCTTCTTTGCTATTGGCTGTTTTCTTTAGATACCTATGGCATCTTCTTAAGAAATCAGAGACAGAATTCATCAGGATAAGCTTTATTTCACTTTTCAATCTTTATCTTTACCCGTAATTTAAAAGTTTTTTAAAGCTGAATTTTCTGTATTGTTTTCCAGGATAAGGAATATGGTGTGTGTGTGTGTGTGTGTGTGTGTGTGTGTGTGTGTGTGTGTGTTGTGTTGTTATAGTTACCCTTTTAAGATACAGGAGAAGATGGCCACAGTTCACCACAATGAGACTGACACTTCTTAGGATTTGGGAATTTTGAGAAACTGCTGGCTTCAGTGTTAGCCATCTGCTGGACTTATATAATCCACCCAGCAATAAAACACTAGCTCTCCCATATGCTCCTCTCTGCCCCTGGGTGAAGGAGTAAACAAGGTGGGAGTTCACATATCTGTGTTCCAGCCCGGATTTGGCACCTGCTAGCTGTGTGACAAAGAGCAGCTTTCTTAATCTGAGCCTCAATTTCTTCATCTGTAAAATGAGCTACACTTATTTATGTTTACCTAGAATGTCTGCGATCTGTTTAGGTACATTTAACACTATCTTAAGAGTTTAGGTAAGTTTAGTTAAATATAGCACAGTTAATACCAAAATAATTTCAGCATGTAGTAGGTATATGTTCAACTGCACTTCAGTGGTTAAAAAAGAAGTTGTTTTCCAAACATGGTTGACCTAGTGCTTTGCCTGTGATATCCCTGAAGTTGCCTATCATGATCCATGCTGCCCCAGCTGAATGCCAGTCTTGTCTCCTTCAATATCACCACACTTTCATATTTGTAGCTTCAGGGACCACACCTTTGCCACACCCTATAATATAACTCTTCTATTATTACAATAGAGGAAGAGATGAGATGGTCTAGATGGCTTTTCTTTAGAAGTTCATCCTTCAAAAGCTGACCTTTATACAATTTTTAGGGTAATGAGTTGTGCTGATGGTATGAGACATGAAGAACATGTACTCTAAGGCAGAATCTCCCATCCTAGACACTACTGACATTTCAGGCTTACTAATTCTTTGTTATGAAGGGCTGTCCTGTGCGTTGTCAGATATTTGGCAGCATCAGTGGCCTCTTCCCATTACATGCCAGTAACACTCCCTACCCCAACTGTGACAAGAAAAACATTTCCAGATTTTGCCAAGTGTCCTCCGGAGGGCAGAATCACCCCTAATTGAGAACCTCTCCATTAAGGGCAATGCCTTTTTGATGTATAAACTTCCCCGTTATCAAAAGCAGACCTTGAGACCAGGAATTGGGTGCAAGTAGTTTATCTGGGAGATGATCTTAGGAAGCATTGTGAAGGAGTAGGGAAAGGAGTAGGAGAAGGGAAACCCAGTAATGGGTGAGCTTATGCGCAGGTTACTGCTGTGGGCATCAAGAGGTCAGTTTCACTGGGGACTCCTGGGACTATGCAGAACGCAACTAGGAATTGCCTCCCAGAGGAGCAGGGAAGCCACGGTGTTTATTCTTCAATCCATGGGGCAGTATGCCCACCCCCTATCCTGATTCACCCCACCCCCAGACTTTTTCTTTTTGATTCAGATCCTTTTCAGTCTTATAACAGCAAAGCATGTTTTGTTTTTCTTTAAATGCCTGATTAATAAAAATATTCATTGTGAACAATTCTATTTTTTGGATTCTCAGATCCTCTAACTGTAGCTAGGCTAAAAAATATCCCAAATCTCCCCAGAACTAACATTCAAGGACTCTGTCTAGTGATTTGAGGCCAACCCTGAGAAATAAATAGAAAGAACATAGTCTGATGGCAAAGGTATAGGGGTGGGTGGAGCGGCACTCATCCTTTATCTTGCAAATTGAATACGAAAATAATTGCAAGGGAACAGGTAAGACTTCCCACATTGTCATTTTCCACTAAAGGCACTTTTGTAACAATGACTTCACTTCTGAATTGACATTGCATTGGCTCCTCTGACAGCCTTAAAGAGATACCATCAAGACTTTGTCACATAAATTGAACAATTTAGACAGAGCTTAGGCGACAATAAAATGAGCTTCAGCTGGAATGTGGTGGGGGCAAAGAGATGAATTTCTTATTCAGTCTGTACCAGTTCAACCTTCTTGCATCTCCTTTCCTCATAACCCATCTTAAACCTGTTATTGAACCATTTATCAGTTTGGAGCATAAAGAAGAAATTCAATTTTAGCAAAGAAAGCTAGAAATAGCTGCCAATCATCTCAGCAAATGGTAGACTGGTGAGTCTCCTTTTTTATTTATTTACTTTTTTTGTTTTTAAAATGAAAATTGTTTTCTTAACATTAAAATTGTCTAAGATAATACCTTGTGAATCATAAGAATGTGTTGTTTTCTGGCAATGAAAGCTTTGATAGACAACCACTGACTTGGCCATAGCTCCTGCTTTCCCCCTAAGGAGTTCGAAGCACTTTCAGTTACGCAATATCATCTTATTTCATTTTGTAAAACTGAGGCAAAAGAAGAGAGGGAGGATGAATACACATGAGTCTTAATTTGTCCAATTAAGGTGCAAAATATTAAATATTATGGTAAAAAAATAAAAAAGGTACAAAAAATAAGTGGGTTGGCCAATGTAGCCCAGAGAGTCTGAGTACTATGACAAGAGCCTCCTGAATCTTAGACTGCATTCATTCCATGGATGTGGCCCATGACCCTGGCAGGGTTTTCCCTTTAAGTAACCTGCGTGTCAGAAAACGTCTGCAGGATTCCGAACAGAAAGCTCTAACAAGCAGTTTGAAAAGTGCATCTCTAAGGCCAGATCCAAGGTCTTTGGCATGATTCTTATCCTGATCAGAACAAAGTGCAAAGATTTCACATCAGCTGAGACTTTTTAATATTAAGAAACAGAAACAATCATCCCCTTTCCTGCCAGGCATGGCAGTGCAAACACCAGCAAAGTTTACCTTTCTCGAAAACCCATGATCTGCTTTTCAAGGGGAAGATGAAAGCGCCAGGATTAGACAATGGTTCTGAAACACTGGCTGACTTTTGAATATTCATGACTATTCTGATGCAAATGAATATCTCAAATTGAGCTGTTTTTGCCGAGGTGCTGTTGGAAATGTATACGCTTATGAAATTGCTTTCCTAGTTCTGCATATCTCCAAGAATGGCTTCCTTTGCTTATTTATATTTCTCCTAGAAGGATTCCCAGGTGTCAGTCTTGGGCTGGAGTTTTAGCTGGCTTCTTTTCATCAAAAACTAGGACTACAGTTTAGCTTAACCCAATAGGAAAGCCTTACTTTTTTTATAGTAGCCCACATCTGATAGGCCCTCCTTGTTCTGCCAGCGGCCAGAGGCTTATCACACATCAAATTGTTTTTCCTTTGAGGTAACCTCAAACCAAAGCTCACTGTTCCCTGAAGAACAAAGAGAGAGTGAGAACGTTGAGCCAGTGCTTGGGAGTGCTCAGAGGGTCAGGAAGCCAGGAAGTCTGTTTGGATTTTGCTGACTCTGTGCACTAGAAGTGTCTCACCATGGTGGGCATTGGGTGTGGCACGTGGCTTTGCCGGATCAAAAGACTTTGAAGAAGACACATAGACTTCATTGGCTGATGGAGACTTTAGAGACCTCCAAAGCACAGTGAGTGTTCCAGGTTTTCCTGGGAAGCTGTGGGACCTCCTTCCCTCTTCAGGCTGGATTCAGAAACAGTGATTGCTGGTCAGGCCCAGGACAAAAATGGGAGGCAGGAAGGGGTGGTCATTCCTAGAGGAGAAACATGGGTCATTGTGAAGTCAAGGACAGTTTCTGAAAGAAGAAGACAGTTGCTTAGCTCTGTCCAAGGCCAATAAAGGAAGCTGTTGGGACCCTCCTATGTCTCTCAGTAGGTGGGGTGAGCTTCTATGCCTCAGATACCTGCTGGGATATGGCAGGGAAGCCTTGTTCCAGGGCAGTCAGGTCCCACTAGAGGAGAGGATGCTCTCTTCCAGGTCTTTAATCTGCCTGGGTTCCTGGGACTGTCCCTAGGACACCTCCTGAAAGGCCATGCACGTGGCCTCTGACTCCATCCTTGTATAGTCATTGGAAGTTTACTTTCTTGCCTCCCAGTCTTCCTCTCTCCAACCCAGGCTTCACCCACAAATACTCCCTGTGCCCATGGAGAGGACTCTCCTCTCCACACCTGACTTATGGTTATCCAGTGAGTACTTATATGTTCCAGGCCCTGTGCAAGACTGGGGACACAAAGTGAATTCAACACAATCTTATTCTGTTCAGTGCTTCTTGGTCTATGGATCCAAACTTCTTTTCCACCCCCAATGTGTCTCTCTGTTCCATGATTATTCCCTTGCCATATCTTTGCCTGGGTGTTTTCTTTACCTAGAGTGCCCTCTCCTCTGAGCTCCAATTTTGCAAAGCCTACGCCCACTTCTGAGGCATGCAAGAGTTGTCTTTTCCATTCAGCCTCCTCTGGTTTTTTCCTTTTCTCTCAACTTCTGTGTCAGATCTGTTCTGTGTAATTTAGCACATAATTTTAAATGGCCTTAGTTTGTCTAGTGACTATTTTGAGTGTGTAAACTAGTCTGGTCTCCTTAACAAATACATAAATTCTTCAAAGGTTGCAGCCCTATTTTACAGTTATTCTGAATCTCTTCTCAACTTGCCATTCCCACTCCAGCACTCAGCTGAGTGCATGGTAAATGTCCAATAACTACTGTTGGTTATTGTCAGAGTGACTCTAATGAGGACAATGCACTGCTCCTGACAGTCCATCAGCAGGAATGGAGGTGGGTAGGTGGTGGGAGGGTGAGGAACCTGTCTGTAGCCCAAGTTTCTGGTCATATAGAGCAGCTCTGTCTCTGAAGTAGCCCCTGAATATAATACAAGCAATGATATCAGCAATTCTTAACTAAAAGGCAGAGAAACATTTATACAAAGAGTGGATCTCATTCATTTTCTTTCAGATCATGGGAAGTTTCTACTCCATAAAAAGTTCTAAGAGTCATCAAACATGACCTTCATGTGACCTTTGACAAATTACCTACCTTTCTGAGCTTCCTCATCTTTCATTATCTACAAAATGGGAATAACAGCACCTAACTGACAGTGTTGTTGAGGGGATTAAATTAGGTCATGTATGTAAACCATTTAGCCCAAGGTCTGGAAAAGAGTAGCCGCTAAATTATTAATTGCTATTATACTTGTTATCATTATTATTGTTGTCTTGTTAAACCAATATTTTCCAAAGTCTGATAAGGGGATTATTAAGTGGTAGATAAGATAGTTTTATCTGATGCATTGACTGACTTTAAAAAATTTTTAATTTATGCTAGGAAAAATATTTAATCACATTTGCAATTTCATGGGTATTATTTCTATTTAATTATTTACTGCTGCATAGCAAATAATCCTCAAACTTAGAGGCTTTAAACAATTATTTATTTATTTATTTAATTTGTGATCTGGGCTAGGCTCAGCCAGGTAGTTCTGCTATTCTTCACTCCCACAACTGGCCCCTGAGCATAGATGGCTGGAACAGTTGGGGCTAGCTGGGATTCTCTCCTTCAGTGCCATCTCTCCAGCAAGGCACCTGAAATTTTTTTACATGGTGGCTCAGGGGTCCAAGAGCAAGTGTTCCCAGAGGACAACTCCCATCATGCAAGTGCTTTTCAAGTCTCTGCTTGGTCTTACTGCAAATGTCCCATTGGCCAAAGCAAGTCACATGCTTAAGCTCAGAGTCAGCATCCAGGGATTGCACAAGGCTGTGAATAGTAGGTGATGTGGTTCATTGGGGACCACCAATGTAGCAGTTTATCACAGCCATAATTTACCCACAGTTGCACAGCTGTTAAGTATCCAGGCTGGAATTGAGCATTCTGCTTCAGAATCTGTGGTCTTAATCTGTGGTCTTAACCTGCAGCTGTCCTCAAGTAGTGTTTCAATGATCTATTCTCAAACTAGGGACTTAAAGCAGCACATATTATATTATGCTCATTGATTTTGTAGGCTATGAATTCAGATAGCTCACAGCAACGATGGCCCATCTGTACTTCACAGTGTCTAGAACCTCAGCTGGGATGGCCTAAATTTCTGAGAGCTGGCTAAGATGGTTCAACTGGAGTCATATGTGTGAAGTCTTGGTTCTCGCTGTCTGATGGGTTCCTCAGTTCTCCTCCATGTGACCTTCCCACATAAGCCCTAGCACCTGGGCTTTTTCACAGCATGGTGATCTTGAGTATTCAGATTTCTTACATAGTGGCTGGCTTCTCTTTAGAGAACAAGGTGAAAACTGTCAAGCCTCTTAAAGAGGCCATATTCTATTGGTCAAAAAATGTCACAAGGCCAACCCAGAATCACAGAAAGGAGAAATTGACTCTACCTCTTGATAAGAGAAGTAGCATGAATATTCACAGAGGGAAGGAATTGATGGTGGCCATATTTGGAGACTTTCTACCACAGTATGCTTAAGGACTGAAATCCTTAATACTAATTTAAGGCTGTTTTTTAAATAGACTTTAGTTTTTAAGGAATTATCAGATTCACAGAAAATATTGAGAAAAAGGTACAAGGATTTCCCATATATTCTCTGTCCCCACACATGCATAGCCATTATCAGCATCCTGAACAAGTGGTACATTTGTTGCAGTTGATGAACCTACACTGACACATCATTATCATTCAATGACCAGAGTTTACATTAGTATTCACTGTTGGTGTGCATTTGTCTAAAACATTAGACAAATGTAGAATGACATGTATCCACCTTTACAGCATCATACAGAGTAGTTTCACGGCCCTAAAAATCCTCTGTGCTCCTCCTATTCATTCCTTTCTCCCTACTAACCCCTGGAAACCACTGATCTTTTTACTGTCTCCATAGTTTTGCATTCTCCAGATTGTCATGTAGTTGGAATCATAAAATATGCAACATTTTGTCTTCTTTCACTTAGTAATATGCATTTAAGTTTCCTCCATGTCTTTTCATGGCCTGCTAGGTCATTTCTTTTTTAGCGCTGAATAATATTCCATTGTCTGGATACACAGTTTATCCATTCACCTACTGAAGGACATCTTGATTGCTTCTAAGTTTTGGCAATTGTGAATAAAGCTGCTATAAACATTTGTGTGCAGGTTTTTGTGCAGATATAAATTTCAACTTTTTTGGGTAAATATCCAAGAAGCGTGATTGCCGACTTGAATTTAAGGTTTTAAAGTTAGTCAAGCTGAAGAAAAAAATAAGTTAATAATATGAAACTGAGCCACTTGAAATTTTCTACAAAACTGTCTGAAATTTCTGGTTGTGTAGATCAGGTTCCAATATTGGTAAGTTTATATGGTTCAACCTGAAAGTACAGTGGTCCTAGGATACGGCAAAGATCTCAGTAGTGATATGCAAATAACTAAAGTTTGGGAAACATCTTCTAATTGAAGTATTTTACTTCCTAATGACTTTTATTCTCTCATGTGTCTTTGACTAAAACTTGGAAGATGCCTATTTGGACAATGTGTTTTGTTGGTGGTGATGGTGCTGGTGGTGGTGGTGGTTTGGAAAAGGGATGATGTAGACTACAACATATCAGGTGCCTATTGAATATACACATTCATCAAAATGTCCCTGGCTTAAGGGACCACAAACTTCCCTGGGTTTGCTACAAGCCAGACACCTGAGACAGCTGGCAGACTCTTTGAACTTCCTGGGGAAAATGTCTTTGATTCTTTTTGATTCCCAATTTTCTACGTCTTCAGACATGTCAACAGAAACTCCATCAGCTTGGTGAGACAGGAAAACCATTTTCTAGCATAAGTTCGTGCAGAAATTGGAAAATGAATCATTTGAACATTTGGTTATAAGGGGTGTGTATCTGAGGAGATTATTCTCCAAAATAGACTGCCCAACAGTTGAAGAGACTTCTTAGACTAGGCTCTGACGACGAATCAGAACTTCAGAGATTGTGAAGGTAGGATTTCGACACTTTACAGAATTTTATTCAGTAGTTAGTCTCTACTAGGTTAAAAACAATTTCCCTCATCACCATCCTAGTTGTTTTTCAGCTGGCAGCCCATTGTCATGGAAAGAAAGATTGTAACCAAATATGCTGTGGATCTTCAGTTAAAATATTCCAATATTGTTGGAAGGTTTGGAATTGGTAAAATAATTTTAGGGTTGCTTTCTTTCATCTCAACTCTTTCTGAGTGAAATTTGTAGGAGAAAATTTTTATTCAAAAATAGTATCCAGAATATTTAAATGTTCCAAATAAAGTCAGCACCAAGTCCACAGCCCTCTCCAAAAAGAAAACAAAAACAAACCCCCAAAATACTCCAAACCGTTTTTTCCAATGGAATTTCCTGAAGAAATGCTTCAAAAGGTCTAGCTACCTCCAAGATGGCTTAAGTCACACTCTTCCCTTAAGCCTCAGTAATGTACTTGCCTCATGTTCTCAGTGGCTTCTCAAGTTATTTTGGCTACTCAGCTCTGACACTTAAATAAAAACTTGATGACAGAAGAGGTTTCATTATGTGTGTGAATGTATTTTCTTCAGCTCATCAGTGAACGGCAGACTAGAAGTCATTCAGAGGCCGGAACAGTAATGTCAAAGCTAATTCAGTCCCTCACAGGTCAAGGCTGTGACCATGGCTATAGCATTTGTCAGACAAACAAATGCATAGCACTTCTGTGAGCATCTTTCCTGCGCAGAAAATCACACCTTAAAATAAGTGGGCATTGATTTCTCTTGCTCCCATCTGTGTTTATCTTAGGTTCTTTCACTGGGGATAAAGCAGAGATGGTGTTGTTCCTGCCTGGCCAGTAACTCTTCCACACTTTTCTCTCCTACAGCATTTCAATAGCACATGTCAGGATCACACTTGTTATTACATGCCTATTACTCACCACTGATAGGTTGAATTTTATTTTTTATTTTTGTTTACTTATTTTTGAGATGGAGGCTCACTCTGTCACCCAGGCTGGAGTGCAGTGGCACGGTCTCAGCTCACTGCAATCTCTGCCTCCTGGGTTCAAATGATTTTCCTGCCTCAGCCTCCTGAGTAGCTGGGACTACAGGTGAGTGCCACCATGCCTGGCTAATTTTTGTATTTTTTAGTAGAGACAGGGTTTCTCCATGTTGGCCAGGCTGGTCTTGAACTCCTGGCCTCAAGTGATCCACCTGCCTCGGCCTCCCAAAGTGCTGGAATTACAGGCGTGAGCCGTCACACCCAGCTGATACGTTGAATTTTCATATGACATTATTTTTCTCTTATATGAACACCCCAAAATATTACAGTCTTTGTGTAAGGATTTTTATCTTTTCAGGAAGATAAACTGATTTTACAGTTAAATTCTGGAACCAGTTATTCTTAATTTTTCTCATTTTTGATGCAAATTATATAGAGATGATAGATTTTATTGTGATTGCCCTGGACTGTCAAAATGGTCTTAAATTTAACAATTCCTTCATCCAGAAGTTGTTTAAATATATATTTATTTAATAAACAAAGCAAGAATATGCAAAATAACAATAACGTTTCCTCAGGAATTACACATGACTAATTTTTTTCCAGTGAATGCCAACTAGAACTAAAATTGCCTAGTGAACAATGGTCTGCCTGTGTCATCATCTTAATTGCCAAATCTTGAAAACTTAGCAAAGAAAAATGATGCCTGTAATTTCTAATTATAAACATATAAGGTGGGGTGACCCTGAATGCTAAATTTCCAATTAAGACATGCAAATAAACAATCGCATCATGTTTCACAATACCAGCCATCTGTTCCCAAAGCCTGTAGGTTCTCCCTCACTGTAAGAAACAGTTAAGTAAAAGAGAGGGTCAGACATCAGCTTTTATAGCCAGTATAGATTAGAAATCATACCACATATATTTTAATGAATATAATTTTATTACTTTAAGAATATTTTATTGCTTTTTAAAAATGATGGCCAAAAGATCCTCATTTAATATTTAGAAATGTATGAAGTAAAAAGTGAGGGAGTACCCTATAATTTCTCTATCCCCTTCCCTACTTCAGATGTAACCACTTTAGACTCTTCAGCAAATTTATTTTTCATCCTTTTGCTCACTTGAAAAGATGAGTTCTGCCTTCTTCCTTATTGATTTCCAAGAGCTCTTTATATGTAATATTTAACTACATGAGATTTGTAGGTGTGAGTGAGACTAAATGCTGTGAATAATAAACAAATCTTGTGTAAATAGGAATAGAATAAACTCTCTACTAAGCAAAATGTTTTGTGGAAGATGCTTTATGTGTTTTACTTTCATAGAGCAGTTTACCCTCATCGTTAGGGAATGCTCCTTCCAAAGACTGGACACAGTGATTACATTTTGTTATCATCTTGGCTTGGCTGTTTTGGGGATAATAAGGTTTAGAATTGGAATCTGTTTCCCAGCAGTTATTGCCTGCATGGTTATACTTTATAAAATGCATGCTCCCCCATCAAGGAGTTGGAGGAGAAGTCCCATCTTTTATATGTGGGCTACATATAGGGACTGCCTTCCAAAGAGTACAGTATGGACAGGGAGATAATGTAAATTTTCGGTGGAGAAACATGTCCAACATGACCTCTGCCGTGTAATCAAGGTTAATATTAGTAGTGGTAAGTCATGCTCACAGTATACAGCCTAGATATGGTGTGATCAGAATGGCACTTTACTTCTGCGGTCTCTCTCTCCAAAACTGATAACCACAGTCTAACCATGAGAAAAGCACACTGGACAAACCCACACAGGGGGACATCGTGCAAAGTATCTGATTAGTACTCTTCAAAACTGTTAAAACAGGTCATCAAAAACAAGGAAAATCTGGGAAACTGTCACAGCCTAGAGGAGTCTAGGGAAACACGACTACTAAGTATATATAGTACAGTATCCTGGATGAGATTGCAGGGAAGAAACGGGGCATCGCTAAAGTTGAAGGAAATAAAAATAATGTGTGGAGTTTCATTAATAATAATGCATCATTATTGGCTTATTAGTTGTGACAAGTGTACCATAAAATATAAGATGCTAATAACAGAGGAATCTGGGTGTGGTAACTCTGTACTATCCTTGCAAATTTTCTTTAAATCTTAAACTATTCTAAAATAAGTGTGCTACAAAAATGAATGGCAAATATTTGAATTGACCCATTTCCCCAGTGAAGCTATAAACCTGATTTAGACTGGTTGTGACTACGACACCCTCCAAGGCTGACCCTGAACTTTATTAATTTAAATGCAGCAGCAACAAACAAAATCTAACTTTGGAATGATTTTTCTAGGGAGGCTGAGGTTAAGGTTAGCAGTCATTGTGGCTGTATGACCAGACCAGTGAAAATACCGAGACCATAAAGGGTGACTCCATTGAACCATTTCATTTTGCAGATGAAGAAATTGAGGCCCAGAAAGAGGAAGTCATTCACTGGGGTTTTGTGAACACTGAAGTTGAACCCATATTTTCTGCCTCCTAATTCAGGGTTCATTCTCCTCCCTCATGCTTCTTCCTGAACCCTTCTGCTCAACACAAAAGCTTGCTTTTGCTTTCCTCCTGTTTTGTCCAAAGATGGGGGTGCCACATATCCTAAACATCGTATTTAAAAAAAGAGAGAAAAATGCATGAAATTTTGGATTAAGTTGAGATGGGTCTGAATACCAGCACTTTTTTGGTCTCTGAGTCTGTTTTCCTCACTTACAAAAACGACTTCAATAATCCCTGCCTCTCAGGATTCAGTGAGATTCTGTACATAAAACCTAGTACACAGCCTGGCCACCCAGGACCCTCATTAATTGATGGTTTCCATAAAAATACATATTTGTATACCAATGGCAGTGACAAGATGCCATGGGCCCTTAAATAGCACATATGAATTACATAATAACTATATTCATGGAAGCTTTTCCTAACCAGGGAAAGCCAGCTAACCATAAAGCCAGCTGCCTCTGCAGGCCTTCCTCCTCACCACAGTGTTCTCTGTTAAAGTCAAGCCTAGTGAGTGGGGAGATTTACATGGCAAATTAGTGCATGAGTTTCAAGAGATAGCCTCCTCCTGCATGGGGGCTAGGAGACAGCAGTTTGACTAAATGCATTATTATTATGATATATTTTTTAAATCACAGGCTGGAAGCAACACAATTTGATGCCTTGGAATGTTCAGCTTGGTCTCTAAATATTGCATTGATATTGAATTGTCTCTTTTCCTCACAGCTGATAAAAAACTGAGATTTGTGTTTCAGATGGCAATTAATAAGGATAATCTCCATTCTTCATTTTCTTTTTAATGCAGAAAGCAGTGTGTGCATTCTATGACTGATCTTGTGGTCTGCCTTTGATGGCCAGTCCCAAACACTCTTACTTATCATAGAGGCAGGCAAAGAAATGTGGCAAGACAAACCATTATTGCATAGTTTGTCAAATTTTAAAATATTTTTAAAAAGTAATGGATTAGCAGCTTTCATTATGGAGTTCTTTAGGAGAACATTTCCAACATTGCAGAAAGGTCTTATGAGCTGTTCTAGACGATAATTTCCTCAGGCTCTTCTGTTCTGTAGATCCCTGAAAATCTTGTCTAAACTGAATATCTATTAGTCAGGATAGCCTAAGTTTTGCTGCAGTAACAACTTCCAAACCTTGGTGGCTTCAAACAACAAAGGTCTATTTCTCAGTCATATTACATGTCCAATGCAGGACCTAGGTTGAGAAAGAACCCACCATCTGGAAAATTGTCAATCACTCTGGCAGAGGTAAAGAAAGTTCTGTGGGTCTTGAACCACCAATTGGTGCCCCAGATCAGAAATGACATGTCATCTTCATTAACAACCCATTGGTCAGAACAAGTCATATAATCCCACCTAGCCACTAGGGGAACCAAGAATTTCAGAGAGAAAACCTGGATATCAGTGAGCTGGTCTGTTGACATCAGTTGACATGATCACTTACTCATTTTTGCTCATGAATTTACTCAGCAGATGTTTGAATATCTGCAGGTAAGCCCTGGGCACACAGAGATGAGCAAGCAGGCATGATTCTTGTTCTTAGGGAGCTTACTAATTATTTGCCAGTAAATGACCATTAAAAGAACAATGACAGTGACAAGACATAAGTATTCTGATAAGGAAAGGACAAGATGCTTTAACATCAGCAAAGCAAGCAGTTTTCATGGGTATCAGTAAGATAACCGGAACTATGAGTATTTGTTTCAGTTAAAGAATCCAGAATCAGCACTAGGATAGGAAAGCAGGGGCTTCTGTTTATTCTTTCAATCTCTTCATGTGCAGATTTGCTCCATTCCTGAATGAAGCCCAAGAGAAGTGTTTAGCTAGCGCCTCCCTGCCAAGTGGTCATTTTGACTGCAAATGCCTTGGGCAGGTTCCTGGAGGTTGCATGGACACTTGCCTATGTGGGCACACTAGCCCATGCTCACAAGATTCTCCATGGCACCCAGGGCTGGTGTTCCTGACACAGAGGCCGAGCTGGGCAGCAGGTGTGCAGTCCCGTCTGGATTTTCACACTGGAGAAGCCAAGAGCCCAGCGTCACTTCAGTGAGTCTCCATGGCATTGTGGATGGAGGCAGCAGGGAGGTGCCACCAGGTCCTGCCTGGATGGCTCTTGCTCCCTTCCAAGTTCCCTGGTACTTTGCCCCTATCTTCTGACCTGCCCATCCACAGAAGAGGATATGTGGCTGAGTGTCACAGTTCAGCTCCTGTTATCTGGTTTAGGGGGTGTCTACAAAGTACAAATTCATTAAATCCCCATTTCCAATGATGTGATTCTTTTTCTTTATCCTTCCCCTTAAATTCATTCATTCATTTATTCATTCAAAATAGACATGCTGGGAGACAGCATGACAGTTACAAGCCTGGACTCTGAGGCTAGACTTCCTGAGTTTGCATCCCAGCTCTGCCACTTGTAGCGTGTGACCCTGAGCAAGTTATTTAACCCTTTTGTGCCTCATCTATAAAGTGGGAATAATAATTGTACCTACTTCAAATGCTTGTTGTGAGGATTGCATTTGTTAATAGAAGTAAAGTGCTTTTAAAGTTACCTGGCACATAGTAAGCACTCAAATTAGCTGTTATTATTATCCGTATTTCATTATTATTGTTCCTAAGTACCTGCTGAAGTGCTCAGCAGCACAGTTTTCTTTTAAAATTAGGGCTGGGGAAGATACAAAGTCAGAGAAGCAGCTGTGTAGCATGGTGGCTAAGGTACAAGCTTTGCAGTCAGCCAGACCTGGATTCAAGTCTGGGCTCTGTCATTTACTAACTGTGTGACTTTTTGTAAATTATGAAGCTAGCTCATCTGTAAAATGTGGATAATGATTCTCATGGTTTTCACGGGAATTGGCTGAGATGATGGATGTACCTCAACACTTAGCACCTATTGAACACTCAATACAGTCTGGCTGTAGAAGTAGCACTAGGGGGAGAAGAAGACAGTTAGTGGATGCTAGACAAGGAAACAAGCACATAATAGATGGTTGTTCTTGAGATGTGCAGGACAGTGAGGTGGAACCATGCAGGACAGAAGTATGGGCTCCAAAAAGGAAGCAGGGATTTCTGAGGGGGTGATCATAGAAGGTTTTTTTGTATGAGATATCATGGAAACTGGGCCTTGAAGGGTGGGTATGGATGGGTCAGGCAGGAAAGGAGGGAGGAAGCAATCCACATATAGGAAGAGGCAGGCCTTGAAGCCCAAGCTAATGTGATCTCATCTTATTGGGTAAACAATGGGGAGCCATTGAAGGATTTTGAGTTGGAGAGTGACCTGGTCACTAAGATCAAAGAAGGAAGTGGGGAAGTAACTTCACAGAGCAATGGGGCCAATTGACATGTATTCAAGTAGAGGAGATACAAATCATAACAGTGGCATTTAGAGCACTTACTGTGCGCCTGGCGCTGTCCTAAGCCTTTGATTGCATTAACTTACTAAATCTTCATAGCAATTCCGCTGAATGGGTATTCTTATTATTCCCAAGTTACAGATGATACAGAGTAGTTAAGTGACTTGCTTAAAATCACACAATGAGAAAGTCTGGGTCCAGGATTCAAACCTAGATAGCCTGGCCCTGAGCCTGTGCTCTGCTCCATGAGATGCCTGCAGTTTTGTGGGCACCAGAGAAGGACAGAGCGAAATGGAATATACAGATGATGGGAGATGTTGCTTCTCCAAGGAGGACTGATGGGAAGAGTGATTTAAAATTCATCTTGGGATATAGGAGAACCCTGGTTCTCTGAAACATTGAAGAGGAACTATGAGTAGAAGAAGGCAGTGTAGGATGAGGGCAGCTGAGGGACCTCCTGGGAAGTAGCTTAGATGTTCTAACTTGAGGAAGAGTTGAGAGGGAGGTGGCAGAAGGGTGGTGCTTATTGGGGGTTTATTTAAAAAAGGGAGCTTTTGAAATAGAGTCCCTGACCATATAACCTAACAAAAGGTTTGTTGTGCCAGGCTAGGCACTTTCTGGGAGGGCAGTGCAGCCAGAACTGAACTGGCTGCCCAATTCCAAGCTCTGTCATTTTCTAGCTGTGTGACTTTAGGCATGTCACTTAACTTCTCTGTGTCTCAGTTTCCTCGTTTGGAAAATGAAGCTACTTACCTCATAGGGTTGTTAAGAGGATTGGACCTGCTAGTTAACGGAGAGCAGTTAGGCCTTAGGATAGTTATCCCTATGCAAGTGGTAGCTACAATTATGGTTGTTGTTATTTTTTTTTACAATGCCAGAAATATTTTTAATAGTTTTACTGAAGTATAAGTGGTATGCAAAGAATTACAGATATGTAATGTGCAGAATTTGATGAGTTTAGACATATGCAAAAACCCGTGATACCATCACTGTGATCAAAATAATAGTCACATCCATCACCTCCCAAAGTTCCCTTGTGTCCTTTTGTTTTTGGGGTGTGTGTGTGTGTGTGTGTGTTAAGAACATTTAACATGAGATCTTCCCTCTTATCAAAATTTGAAGTGTCTAATACAGTATTGTAAATTATAGGCGCTATGCTGTGCAATAGATCCCTAGAACTTAATCATCGAGCAGAACTAAAATTTTACACCCATCGAACAACAACTCTCCACTTTCCCAGTCCCCAACCCCTGGAAACCACTATTGTATTCTATGCTTCTGTGAGTTTATTATAGATAGCTCATACAAGTGGAATCATTGGCAGAAATCCTGACAGCTCAGGGCAGAAAGGGAATAGTTGTAGCTGGTGGCCCAGGCCTCTCAGGGCGAGCCCCACAGCCTGGTGGCTGGAGTACAAGAGCTTCCATGATGTTTCAGGTTGCAGGTGTGCAATGACTACCTTTGGTCAATGAACTTTCTTCTTTTTCTGGTGACAAATTCCAGAATCACCGAGGAAGCCTTTTGATTCTAATTCCTATTGTGAGAACAGATGTGTTCAGTAGCGTGCTTACTAAATAAGATACCAAGCCGAGGGGAAACATGGAGGCTTATGAAAAAATGCCAGGTACACTAACAAAGGAACTTGGGTAATCTGTGCTTCAAACCACAGATGCTACCACCCCCTCATCAAGGTTTCAGTTGGTTTAAAAGCCTTCTCCTCAATTTCCTGTTTCAGGGCAGACCTTCTATCTTATTTGCCTTTACCATCTGCTGTCTCCCCACCCTCACTCCAGGGGCATTAGAGATTCTGATCACTAACAAAACTGAAGATGTTGGGACAGGTGACTTACAAGGCTTACAGACAGCAAGCCTTCTGTGAGAGAGGGAAGTCAAAAGGATTCCATTTTAATTTGAGAGCATACTATGTTACATCTGTAGGATGTGACACACTCAATTGATAACTACTCACTATATCAGCAATATTTTGAACTCAATCTGCCAGCATCTCAGATGAGATTAATTTCAGAGGTACTGTCTTTTGATGCTAGGGAGCCACATTGGCGGCCCCAGTTCACCTATTGACTTGGGTCATTGGAAATGGCAAGAGTTGGGGAGATGGAGAAGATGTGCCTCTCCAGTCTCCACTAGATACTCCCATGTAACACACCTCCACAGGCTTGTTCCACTAGTTAAAGGTTATTTGGATTTACAAATACCTATGTGCCTTATGGAATTTTCACCATTTGTCTTTCATTACCCAGCTGAATCAGAGCCTCTAGGGGCCACCTGAATTTCCTGAAGCCAGGGGCAGAGGTGAGAGAAGAGGGCAGGGAAGATGGGGAGGTTTCCAGAAGCATTTGACCTTCTTTGCAAATTTGCCCAGGATCTTTTGGCCTTCCATGCTGAATGCCACCGAAAGACGACCACATAGAAAATGTCATAAAGAAGTTACAAAATGTATGCTTACGTGCAGAAGAGAGCATCTGAATTTCTTTGAAATTCATTCACTCAGAGGGCCATCATTTATTTAATAAGCATTTATATTCAATGCTCTCAGCTTTGTCTGCACATTGGAATCACCTGCCAAGATTTTAAAAACTCTGATGTCCAGGACATACCTCAGACCTGTTAAACCAGAATCTCTAGAAGTGGGACCCAAGCATCCATATTTTTGGAAAGCTCCCCCCAGGAGATTCCAAGGTGCAGCTGACATACATGGTGCTGAGTGCTTTTTTGCGTGTATTAATCCATTTAATTATCACAACAATCTTATAAGAGAGATGCTGACATTGTTCCCATTTTACAGGTGATGAGACAGAGGCACAGCAAAGTCTCTGCAAGAACACATGGCTGATAAATTTCAGAGTGTGGATTTGAACCCAGGCCATCTTGCTCCAGAGTTAATACTCTTAGCCAACAGGTTCATTTCCTGTCACTACATGAAAAACGCAAGTTCCTGGCAAAGCCTCTTACTGTAAAGTAGCCATGGAGCCGGGGATGGAGGCCCTGTATCTGTTTTCTGGGAAGCCGAGAAAAAGATCTTACCAAGCAATGCCACATTTATAATTAGTGGTTTTAAAAAATTTCTACCAGAAAGTGCAAACTTTCCCATTCCTCCCACAGACCGAGGGTAAAATTTCCAACTTTTCCTTTCCCATATCCACCCAAAAAAAGGTCAAGAGCTGGGATCCAGCCTGAATTAAGTGGAGTGTGGGTGTAGTTTGTCAGCTGGGTCTTCTGTTTGTGGTTAAGGTCCAGCCCATCAGGTTGAAGGCTTACTGACACATGTGTGGGAATGGGAGGTTCGTCATATGCTTGTCTTAAATTAGTCTGCTGCTTCATTAGATGGACTAAAAAGCTGAGGAAAGAGGATGGGGCTGCAAGGGGAATGGTATCTGGTCCCAGTTCCTCCCCCAAACCAGCCCTGGAACGTTAGTGAGTAACTTCACTTCCCTCTGCGCTTGGCCACCTCTTCGGTAAAATTAAGAGAGTTGGATTCCATTCAAAGTCACATCTCAGTTCAGCCAAGAGACATGCTTTTCTTGGCCCCACAGTGCTTTCAAATTTTTTGAATTAATTGTGAACATTAAACAATTGGAATCATTTACATAAAAATCTAGATTTCCAGCTTCTTTTGAAAAATTGGAAGAGATGTTCTTGCCACATTGGGTCCCATAGGACAACCATGGGCTGGAGTTGAGAGCCATCCACTCTCTTTAGATGGGACATACTCTCCCCAGGTTTCCATTCCTCACCTGGCCAATGTCATTGTTTACTTACCTGCCTGGCCGCTATAGACTATGGGGAAATCTGATCATAGTCCCTTCCAGAAGTCGAAATACCTTTATCCATGGGATCTTAAAACCTGTAAGGCAGGGGCGAAATCTTATAGACTCGGGCTTAGTCAAAATTTTCATGTAAAGATAAGGATGATCAAAGGAAAACTAATAAATGGTAATGTTCTCTCTTAGATACTTGCCTATGTTTTATCTTTAACCTCAAAACATAGAATTCATAATATTTGGCATACTTTCTGTGTATTTTTATATTCTGGCTCACTTTTGGAAGGCGTAAGCAGAGACAAAACAAAAGCCATAAAAGGTTACAAAGAAATTGCGTAGTCAAGAAGAGAAGACACCAGGATAATGTGTTCTCAGAAGGACAGTCTGAAATTACAGAGGAACTACCTGTTCTTCAAAACAAAATTATCTGAAATAAATTCCAAGAAAATATGCCAGGTGGGTGCTAAATCTGATGTTTTTATATAGTCCACATTTAATAAAATTATCTTCTCTGACAGGATGTGAAGTTTTTAGGGAGCTAGGCTATTTATTTAGAAACTTTCATTTGATCAAAAGTCACCAGAAATCACACATAAGTTTAATTTTGTTAACTCTTAAAGCTCTTCAGATAGGACCATAATAAAAATACAGCTGGATGCAAATAAATTAGTGTAATGCAGCCTGACCACTCACAACATTGTTTTATGCATTTTGTTTATTTTTATTGAATATTTGTGAAAACAAAAGTAATATATACATAAATAAAATACAGTAGAAAGGTGAGAAATGAGCAGTAAATGTCTCTTCTCCTTTATCTTTTATTATTTATTGTGGTAAAATACATATAAAATTTACCATCTGGACCATTTTTAAGTGTACCATTCAGTAGAGTTAAGTATATTCACGTTGTCATGTTTTCTCTCTTAACCCCAATATTAACCCCAGTTATGTTTTTCTATATTATTTCAGAAAATTATATGCACATTTTTATTATTCATACAAATAAATTTCCTTACATCTTCCAAAGCTTTGACATCACCATAGACCAATCTTTCTTCTTCTTTGCAATGACTACAGAATACTCCATTTTTATAAATAGGCCATAATTTACTTAACCAATACTTTATTAGTGGATACTTAGACCATCTTGAGATCTCGGCTGCTACTGAAAAGAAAAAAAAATCCTATAGTAAACATATTTGGTCCATACATCTTGACCTATGTACAAGTGTATCTTGTGGGTAAATTCTCAGCAGCCAATAAACTGAAACATTTGTTCGGTTGAAATTTTTCTATCTGAACGTGGATATAGTTCCATAATAACACTTTTTAGATTGGGTAGAATACTCATGATAAACTATAATGACATATGTGATAAATTTCAGTGGTAGCTTGGACCCTGGGATTAGATGACCTACTTCCAAATCTAGGCTTTCACAGACTAGCTGTGGGGCCTTGGAAAACTTGCTTATAACATCACTTGCTTCAACTTCCTCATCTGAAAAATGGGATTAATAATACTACCTGCCTCTAAGGGTTGATGGAAGAATTGCTGAATGAACAATACCTGGCACATAGTAAGCATTATATGCATTAGCTATTATTTTAGATCTCTTAATCATAAAATTTGAGCTTGATATTTTAGACATGATAGCTCATCAGATATTTTCAATTAAAAGTTTTCAAGATCCCAACATTTTATTCTATAATTCTATTCCCAAGGCATCTGTAAAATAGACAAAACCTCACAACATGCAAAAACTAAAAGGCCTTACCTGTACTCAATCAATTCTTGTTTTCTTCTGTTTCTTTAGGAGTACTTTGGATTTCTCTTTCTTTTTTCTTATATTTGGCATGGGAATTGCACTTAATTTTCCTGAACTTACTCTGGGTCAAATGAAAACCTGGGATGACTTTTTGTGAGAACAATTCTTTACCACACCCTAAATGTCTGAAAATCTCCCCCATACTTTGCAAAATAATTTTGACTTTGTTTAGTTACCTATAATGACTCATTTCTTTTCATAATGAGGATACAGCCAAAAGAATCCCTATGATGTCCTTCTCCTCAGTTTCCCTGACTTGGGTGGGTGAGAGAAGAAGGCTGCAGATTTACCAATAGCCCATCTGCTGGGTGGCCACTGGCTACCTGCCTGGATTCTGAAGGTCTTACTTTGTGTCACAGAGCCCAAACCACTCACTCTTTGTTCCAGACTAGTTCTTCCTTGCTTATTTTTAGCCTTACAGAAAGCCTCTCCCATCCCTCTCTATCGCTTTGATTAACGGCCTTTTGTTAGAGCGACAAGGATGATTCAGGTGAAACAACAGAAACACTGGCAAAGAAGAGGTTGGTTGGCAGGAAAGATGGTGGGATGGCATGTGGACAGGTCTTTGTGCAGATGGTTTCTGTCCAGTGTAGTGGCCGTAGCTGAGTGCTGTTGTGTGCACCTGTAATCTCAGCTACTTGGGAGACTGAGGTAGGAGAATCCCTTGAGCCCAGGAGTTCAAGGCCAGCCTGGGCAATATAGTGAGAGGTTGTCTCAAAAAAAAAAAAAAAAAAAAAAAATCCAAAGGCCTCTTAGCTCCTGCCATTACTTCGTGGCCACAAGGGGTCCCTCTGCCCTAGATTGTCAGGTGATGGCAAAACATACAATCTTGAAGGTCAAAGAAACAATAAGGGATCTTGTAGACTTCCATTTTAAAGCCTCAGATGCAAGCTGACTCGCTGTGAGTAATTACAGTTGGAAAGAAGTTTTGTTGCTGTCGTTTGTTGTTTGTTAGTAACAATGCCTTGAACTGATTTCTGAAAAAGTATATATCCTAGAGCAGTGGCCCTAATGCCCTGAACTGCTCTGACTGAGTCTGACCTCAACTCCAGGCAGAGCCGAGGGATTCATGCTGAAAGCTAACGAAGAACCTAAATATTTTTTGAGCACCAATTATGTTCCAGACTTTGTTCTAGAACCTGAGAAGGCAGTGAACAGAGTGGAGAAAGCACTAGTGTTCAGGGAGCTTACTTAGTGGTGAGAGCAGTTATAGATAGATAAATAGCCAATAGAATTGGTAATGGTAAAGACTAAGAAAAATAAAGTGGGATAAGAAAGGTGAAGAATGACAGCAGTAAGAAAATGAAGTAAAAGACATCATATTGTAAAGAAAGGTTTGAGATGACATAATTTTGTATGTAGAGGATTCTAAAGAATCCACTAAAACACCATTTGAACAAATAAGTGGTTTGACAACGTTGCAAGATACAAGATCAATATACAAAACTCAATATATTTTTATATACTTGCAATGAACAGTATGAAAAAAATAAGAAAATAATTGTATTTATAACAGCATCAAATAGAATAAAATACTTAGGAATAAATTTAACAAAAGAATTGCAAAATATGTACTCCAAAAACTGCATAATATTGTTGAAAGAAATTAACAAAGGGCTAGATAAATAAAAAGATATTCCATGTTCATGAATCAGAAGATTCATTGTTAAGATGGCAACACTCCTTAAACTGATCTACAGACTCAAACCCTATCAGAATCCCAGTTGGCTCCTTTGTCAAAATTTACAAGATAATCCTAAAATGTATATATGGAATTGAAAGGGACCCCCAAATAAATAAAATAATCTTGAAAAACAAGAACAAAGTTGGAAGACTCACACTTTCTGATTTGATTTGATTTGGAGATGGAGTCCCACTCTGTCGCCCAGGCTGGAGTGCAATGGTGCGATCACGGCTCACTGCAACCTCCGCCTCCTGGGATCAAGTGATTTTCCTGCCTTAACCTCCCAAGTAGCTGGGATTTGCATGCACCACCACACACAGTTAATTTTTGTATTTTTAGTAGAGACAGAGTTTCACCATGTTGGCCAGGTCTTGAACTCCTGACCTCAAGTGATCCACCCGCCTTGGCCTCCCAAAGTGCTGGGATTACAGGCGTGAGCTATCATGCCTGGCCTACACTTTCTGATTTTAAAAGTTACTATTAAGCAACAGTAATCAAGATAGTGTGATACTTGCATAGTATAAACTTACAGGTCACCTGGATAGCCATATGCAAGTGAATGGATTTGGATCTTTACCTCTCACTACGTATGAAAATTGACTCAAAATGGATCAAAGGCTTGTATGTGAGAGCCAAAATATAAAACTTTTAGAAGAAAACCCAGGGGTAAATCTTCTTGACCTTGAATTTGGCAATGGATTCCTTGATATAACATTAAAAGCACAAGCAACAAAAGAAAATATACTTAAAATGTTCTTCACTAAAGTGAAAAACTTGTGGGCCTTCAAGAACATCAAGAGAGTGAAAAGACATCCCTAAAGAAGGGAAGAAAATATTTACAAATCATATATCTGATAAGGAACTTAAATCTAGAATATGAAAAGAACTCTTGCAACTGACTAAGAAAAAGACAAATATTCCAATTTAAAATGAGCAACAGATTTGAATAGGCATTTCTTCAAGAAAGATGTACAAATAAACACATGAAAAGAGGTTCAGTATCATTAGCCATTGGGGAAATGCAAATTGAAATCACAATGATATGCCACTTCACTCCCACCAGGATATTTATAATTTAAAAGTCAGATAACAAGAGTTGACTAGGATGTGGAAAAACTGGAAAAAACGTTAAACAGACATTAGTAATCAGACATTACTAGTGTGAATAAAAAATGGTGAAGCCACTTCGGAAAACAGTTTGGCAGTTCTTCAAGTGTTTAAACCTAGTTACATTTGGCACAGCAATTCTCCTAGGTATATACCCAAGAGAAATGAAAACATGTCCACACAAAAACTTGTACATAAATATTTACAGCAATATTATCCGTAATAGCCAAAAGAAGGAAACAACCCAAATGTCCATCAATTGATGAATAAACAAAATGTGGTGTATCCACACAATGGAATATTATTAATGCATGAAAAAAATGAAGTACTGATATATGCTACTGTGTGGATGAACCTTGAAAACATTATGCTAAGTGAAAGCAACCAGTCACAAAACGCCATATATTATATGATTTCATGTATATGAGATGTACAGAATAAGCAAATATATGGAGACATAGTGTAGATTAGTGGTAGCTTAGGCCTGAGCTTAAGGCTGGAGTGAATTTGAGAGTAATAGCTATAGGGGACAGGGTTTCTTTCTGAGGGGACAAAAATGTTCTATAATTGATTGTGGTGATGTGTGCACAACTGTGAATATACTAAGATACCATTGAACTGTGTGCTTTTAAAATGGGTGACTTTTATAGTAGATGAATTATATAAATATAAAGCTGTTATAAAAAGAGAGAGAGAGAAAAAAAAGGAAGAAAGAAAGAAAAAAGAGGGAGGGAGGGAGGGAGGGAGAAAGGGAGGAAACATGTCAGGATCAGAATTTGCAGGAAGTACCAGCAGCTTGAAAGAAGAAACAAAGGGGGTGACAAGGGTAGAGAAGAGGGGACTCTTTCAAAGGGGGAATATGCATCTTAAAGGCCTCTTTAATAGGGTGATGTGTATGTCAGTTGAGACTTTCAGGAAGGGAAGAAATGAACCATATGGATATCTGGAGAAAAAGAGTTCTGGGCAGAGCAAAGGCCCCTTGGCAAGCATGTGAGTGGTGCATTTGAAGAGCAGCATGGAGATGTAGGTGGCAGAGGCAGAATGAGTGAGCGAGGCAGGGAGCATGATGTCTAAGGAGCAGGCGGGGGCCGGATAATGTGGGGCTGGCAGAGCCCCATTGGGATGACTTCGGATTTTTACTGAGTAAAATGGAGAGTAATTGCAGGGGTTTGAGCAGATAACATGCCCCGATTTCCCATTTACAAAGACCAAAATATACTGCAGTGTGGCAAATAGGCTGTGAGGGATGGAGTGTGAGGGAAGTGGTAAAGCCAGGGAGGATGCCATTGGCACAGTTCAGGTGAGATGGCTTTCTGTCTCTATGCTGTGCTTTAGTTTCTCTCTTATAATTAAGGAGACAATAGAAATAGAAATTTAGTAGAAAGAGAACCTACAGTCTGAAAATAGCACACACCACTTAAAAGCAAAATTTCCTGGAAAAGTGTGGACAAATGGCCATCATCCACAGTGCATAAAAATGTTTGCTTCCAATTTAACACTCTGCATGATGTTAATTAATGGCATAAGTACGTGTTTGATGTCTTTCTCCCACGTTAGGCTGAAAGCTTCACAATGGTCAGAACCATGTCCATTGTGTTCTGGAACATTGTGCTAAGTCCCTGGTGTCTAGAACAGGGTCTGACACAAAATACATCCTCAAAAAAACCCAAAACAAAACTCATTGAATGAATCAATTAACGAGCCGTTGTCAATCATCTTGTCCCTAGTTATTTCAATGTGTGCTGAAGGCAGTAGGTGACCACCAAGCATCTGTGTCCTCCTCTATATTTCCCAGCCTTCCTTGCAGTTAGCTATGGCCATGTGACTGTTGCTGGCCAGCAAAAAGTGAACAGAAACAAGTACTAAGATGGTAGCTGGAGTGTATTCTGCATCATTCGATTCTCTTGTGAGATGGTCTTGCAGGCTACAGATTCTAGATGGCAGAGCCTACAAGATGGAGTAGGACAACCTGACCTATGTAAGATTTAACAAGAGTTAGAAACAAATGTTTTTTCAGTTTGGCCAATGAGATTTTTCTTTTGTGGCAGTAAATACTATTGCTTTAACATATTATGTTTTTTCCCCCCATTTTCCGAGTACAAGCCTTTGTAGTATACTCCAAACTGCTGGATTATTTTGGATAATGACAGTTGGAAATTGCCTGCTGCTTCTCAAGTTTAATTTTCCTTTCCACTGTCTCCTTCTTACAGGGCAAGACGTTAATGCTTTTCAAATATTCTCATCACATTTGAAATCACGACAGTAGCAGAGTGGCATATTTCATAATTTCTATAAGGCACTCAGTGTAGTTGGACCCAAGGCCCTGGTGATAATAATGGAAGCAACCTAGTCCAGTTCTAAAAAATAGGGCTGGACATCCTCTCATAATTTTTCCAACAATTGGAGGTGAAAGTGTGAAGTCTTCATTCAGCTGGGAAAGGGGTTGGCAGATGTTTGGAAGAGATGAGCATTGGCTGAGCTCCATTGTAAATGTTCTCGACTTGATTTGTTCACTTCATCTCTTTATTCTGCCCACTCAACTCCATTCTCAATTTCTTGTTACCCAGAAAGTAGTCTGTGGGATCTAGTTATTAGGATAACTAATGTTTTATGTTTTATTTTTAACACTAAGCCAGCAAATCCACTATTTTTACCTATTATATCTGGAATAAAAGAACACAATTAGAAGTTCAATAAAAATAGTTTATTTTAGTAAGAGAAGGAACATGCAGACAGGATAGAATTCACCCCCAAGAGTATTTAGAGTTCTACGTCAATCTTTTCATCTACTATTTACCCTGTACTGACCCAAGTACCATATACAGCTTTTCAATAGTAATTGCAATTAACATTTGTTAAAACTTGCATACCTCCTCCTCTGCACAGAGCAATTCACTCAAATAGTTCCTAAGGGACAAGTGGTTCCTGGAATCAGCTGAAAGTGGAAGTAGTGCTGGTAGCCCCAGGACTACCCCAAGACACAGAGAGGGTAACCCAGGCTGCAGTGGCACTCCATGCTGTGGCACTCCGCTGGCTGCTGGCTTTTTCATATCCCTGCAGGATACTCTGAACCATGGAAGGAGCCTATGCAAGTGAAGCATGCCCTGAAGCTTAAGCTTAAGCTTATTAGTTTCCAGGTAAATTCACCACTGCTGTCAACACATAAGGATCCGTTGATCCTATAAGGCAGGGACAAATTGTTCAACTGAAGAGTTTGATCCACAGGAACAAAGGATTTGTTCCTATAATCCTTCCATGGCCCAGACAGTTCGTATTATTACCAACATTTACAGGTCGGGAAACTAAGGATCATGGAGAGAGGTATCTTTTCCCAAAGCCCCACAGCCAGATAGTGGGTAGGAGTGCCAAGATTCCCACCAGCCTTGCCCTTTGCACACACTGAGGTTTGCAGCCACTAGTTCCATTGTTGGTCTTTCTGGCCAGGAGAGGACGTGAGAGAGCAGAGGAGAAGCTTTGACAACGGAGGTGATGGAGAACCTTGGAAGTTCCTCCTCATAGCCTTCCTCCTGCCCTGACTTCCCATCAGCTGAAGAGGGTCTCCCCTTCTCCACATGCATATTTGTTTGTGCTTTATGAATTTTTTCCTTCTGATGAGGTCCTTTGTGAAAAGTTTACTTCCTTTGCTCCCGTAAAATTGGTAAGGGTGACATGCCCCAACTGCAAACCCAACAATCACCCACACTCCTGGGGCTCCCCTGGGTCCTTCAGCCACTGTGATTTGGCCCAATGCCTCTCACCCCCTCACCCAGCAAAGGGTTTAGACCCTGTACCCTACATCCTTGTCATGATCTTATTCACTCATTCATTCATTTATTCAAAAATATTTACTGGTTGTCAACTTTGTGCCTGACACTATAATAAGAATAGCTGGGAACACTGTGACACTTCTTCAGTGTGGAAATATTCCACCCTCCTCTGTGATCATCAGGTTTGTGTGCATGTGTTTGCTTATTTGTTTTAGAGACAGGGTGTCTCTATGTTGTCAGGCTGGAGTGCAGTGGCTATTCACAGGTGCAATCATAACACGCTACAGCTCCAAACTCCTGGGCTCAAGCAATCCTCCTGCATCAGCCTCCCAAGTAGCTGGACCTACAGATGCATACCACGTCACCAGCTCTGTGATGGTTAGTTATATGTGTTAACTTAGGCCCACTCCCCAGTTATTCAATCAAATACTAATCTAGGTGCCCCAACACAGGTATTTTATGGATGGTAGTTAAAGTCCAAAATCAGTTGACTGTAAGTAAGGAAATTTTCCTCAATAACCTGGGTGGCCTGATTCAATCAGTTGAAAAGCCTTAAGAGCAAAGCTGAGGTTTCTTTGAAGAAGAAAAAATTCTGCCTAAAACTGCAGCTCCAGCTCCTGCCCAAGAGTTCAGCCTGCCAGTCCTCCTGGACCTGCGGATTTTAGTCTTGCCTACCCAGCCCCCAGAATCACATAAAGCAGTTCTTTGCTATGAATGTCTTATTATATGTCTCCTATTGGTTCTGTTTCTCTGGGTAATCCCCACCAATACACCCTGCTTGACACCTATGAAGTTATCCATTTCGATCATACTCATTTTGTCAGTCTTTGGCTTGCAGAGAAAGATAAGAGAAATGTTAAAGTTGGCAAAGTAACTTGGTTGCCTTCAATGGTGATCTCACCTCAGTAAAATCTGAGGCAGGTCACCATTTTAGGTGACTTCAAAGTTTCTGGGATAGGGTGGAAAATGGGACAGGAGCTCAGAATGGGAAAATCAGATGCCATGCCATTGCTGGTCCCGGTTTGATTGGCCACCAAGAGGCCACCAGGCCTCACACGGCTGTTCCAGGGAAGTCCACTCCCATCAACAAAGCAAAAGTATGTGACACAAAGTGTGGATTACTCCCTAAAAGGCCCCATCTTAGTTGCTTTTAAGTAACAAAGGTGTTTCTATTTAATACTTTAGTTGGTGCCTGGCTCATACATTGTTAACATCTTTGAGGAAAACAACTGAGGAATGGCATTGTCAAAATCTGTCATAGGCTCTAAAAACTCAGATTTCTATTTCGTGGTGTATAAAATTCGAGGAGCAGACTTCCCAAGTTTCTTTCCAATGCCAACATACTTATGTTTCTCTTTGATAAACCTGTCAGTTTTTATTACCAATTAGAATAGCCTACAAAGTAAAAAATGTTTGGCAATGGATTTGGGTGGGCAGTCCTCAGAGAACCTGAATTGTGGAAAATCAGCCTTATCAGGAGGTCTATCCCAGAGTGGGAGAGCCAGCTGCAGTCCCCTAGAAAGTTACAAGCCTACCTTCTGAGAGACACTTGCACAAGTACGGGAATTCTTCTGAAACGGAGAACTCTGCCAATTGCTGTTTATCACAGTTTCTCGGTTTGCTTTTCAAGTACCAGACTGTGAGAGAATTACCTTCATTGCTAAGACAATATTTGTTTCCTTAGCTTCTCAGTGAGTGAACAGTGACCCAAAACCTGGGGCCAATATGTGTAAGACTTTGGAGAAAAGAAAGATTTTGTGAGGGAAAGGGAAAAGGGGTCGTCTGAATTTGGATTGAGATTAGTTTGATTGGGTAATGGAAAACAACCAAAAAACAAACTAATTCTTTGTCAAATCCCACCACAGAGGCACATTTCAAAAAAAAAGACATCAATGCCCCTGAAATCAGGGAAAAGGCCACCACAGGAATTTCAAATTTCCATCACCACAAACATCCTCCAGCAGTCAGCACCAAAGCCAGATCACGTGACCTCCAATCCATCTGTAGACTGAAACGATAACTTGTTTCAGTTATTTCAAAAATTTCACAGACTTTATACGACTTGTTCCCAAATCTATATAGATGGTGTGATAAGGAACCAAATATAAATTATATTTAAAAGCCCTACTGATCCCTAGTAGCTTTCAGTCTTTTCATCACTCAAGTCACTGAAAGTCTAACTACTTGTACACCAAGAACCATTTTTGACTTTGAAAGAAGGTCCTCTGAGCACAAAGTGAAACTGCCTTTGCAAAAATTGTAACTGAGGAAATTATGACAGTGAAAGACATCAGACCTAACCAACTCCATCTTGCTTCTAACCTTTAAGCTGTCCTTGTTCATTCCTGGGCACAGGGCAAACTAAGCTTAGAAAGAAATTTAGTTGTTTATAGTTTAACTCTGAAACAAACTAAATAATAGCCCTTTGACTGGAACCAGTCTGCCTTTGTAGGACTAAGAGATTAGCTACAAGATTAAAAATTATGGTTTAGGGACAATGCAACCTCTGACTGCAAGAGTCTGAACCTCCCCAAATTGCTCCTGGGAATACCATCACTATTGTAAAAGTCAAGATTAGTGCCCGAGATATTTTGCAGACTCTGCACTTCATGCACCAGCTGATACCACCCAGACGCGTAATCTGGCTCAACCAGTTCTTTGATCTCACCCAGGAACAGAAGACAGCAAAAAATATTCACTTCAACCCCCTATGATTCCATCTCTAACCTGACCAGTCAGCACTCCCCACTTCCTGAGCTCCTGGCCGCCAAATTGTCCTTAAAAACTCCGATCCCCAAATGCTCCGAGAGACTGATTTGAGTAATAATAAAACTCCGGTCTCCTGCACAGTGGGCCATGCATGAATTACTCTTTCCCCATTGCAGTTTCCCTGTCTTGATAAATCGGCTTTCTCTAGGCAAGGTGAACCGTTCGGCAGTTAAGAAAAAGTTGGATCCATTGTATTATAAATGAGGAAGAAGAAGCTATGCACTACCAGGCTTGCCCTGCTGGCCCGTCCTTGGCTTCGTGGAGTCCCGCCAAGCCCACAGTTGCTGGTTCTGTCCACACACTCTCCCACCGCAGTTGTCAGACATGAAAGACATCCCCAGCTGTCTAGAGTGAGAGGGGACACAGAGAGGAGGCTGCAAGGCCTGCCTGTGTTTGTGCCTTAACCTTTAAAAGCAGGGCCCTGCAAAAGGACAAGGGCAGTTTAATTTAAATCTCTCTGGAGCTTAAACTCAGCTCTTTTCTTTTGTTTTTTTGATTCCACCTTGTTGCTCTTTCCTTTCTTGCTGGATTGTGTTTGCATTTTCTCCTGAATGTGTGGTTTCCATCTCGTCCAGCAGATCTAAGGTAATTTCAGTTTTGTTTCTAAAAATGTCATTGTCTGCTTCTTTCCCACCGTCTGTCTTTTGTCTTTGGACAATGTGAATATTTAGCTGCATAACACATAGAGATTCTCTTCCCAGTGCTTTATTTTAGGACTACCCAGATCTGATGTAGTCAATAAAACACTCATCTGTCAGTTTTTTAGCTCTAATATGATGTCTAATGAATACGTTAAGTGACATCACATGAAGCAGAACTGTGGGCTACTGCATTTTTTTTTTTTTTTTTTGCCTGCATATTTTTTGGTACAGGAAAAGTAAGACACTAGATTTTGGATATGCTTTCCTATTTTCTTAAACAAACTCTAACAGTTGTTATCTGTCAAACCCAGGGGACTTCAAATGCTGATACTTGGTGTCTTCAATATGACTACATACATAATCTGGAAATAGTCTAGCCTTCATTTCGTAAAAGCACACATTGTTTTTTTGCTGCAGGCATCTCAATGTTGGAATAATGTCTTATTCTTAGACTTTATGTTTTTCCATTCTTAAGTAATCCTGAAACTAGCTCAATACATTGAGCTGGCTATGTTGTTTTTCAGATGGATTTCCTGAATTGCTAGCATCAAGTACTTTGCTCTCTTTTCATGACACCCCACTTCTATTTATAGCCAACAGATGATCAGAAGCCAGGGTCAAGGACAGTTGCTGTTTGGTCAAGCCCAGCTGTTGAACGCTGATTGGTAACTGGCAAGGTGTGGCAATTGCCATCTGGCCATGCCAGGGTCCTGATAGCACTGCCAGCATTTGTTTAATTCAGGCAAAGCAGCTAACTTCAGCTTGCTCTGCTGAAGCAAACCTGTTTTGGACATCTCAACTGGTAAAATTGGTTCCTGAGTTTAAATCCAACTTGAAAATTTAAAGCAGCACCATCTGAGTCATTGGGGTCTATCAAGACACACTTTATATCCCCCTTGGTTCAGATTCAGAGACAGAAGCATGTAGTCTCAATTCCTTTCTGACGAACAGCATTGAGTACTTCTGCAGAACATAAACTAGAAAACCAATTTCTGTAGCTCAGAAAGATGAGTATTTTTATGGCTCTCCATACTGGAAGGGAGAGATGCATTAAATCAATCATATGAATTAACATGGCATCGTGGAGCAGTATCCTCCAGAAATTAGATCAGCCCCTAAAAGAAATCAAGTCACTGTTAAATGGTGGAGTATACATTCTGTTAGTGAGTGACTTGACACTTGTGAGGGTTGAGGGACTGGTGGGAAAAATGCCTGCTCTCTTGGTTAAAACTTTACTGGGACTGGTATTCAGAACTCTTGGCAAGATTTATGCAGATCCTGCTTTGTACTTGCAAATTACTTTCACAATAATTTCAATCGTTATTAATCAGCAGGCATTGTGTGAATGACAGATGCTATATAATCTCTACAAAACAGTCCTCAGGATCTGGTATTCCACAGTCATTTTCCCCGTGCAAGGACCAACAAAGCCCAGCATCTTCGCCATCTTTCTGGGAGAGGTTGGAATGTTTTCCCTTTTTTACGAGAGGAAATTGAGTCACAGTAAGAATAAATGCCTCTCTGGGAGCCAGGATGACACTCGACCTCAGTTTCTCTCTTAGAATTAAAGGACCCCGGCAAGCGTTCACAAGGAAATGCATTTCCTTCCTGGAGACAGCAATTTTACTTTGAGGATAAAAATTAGTAAGATGCCTTCCTCATAAAAATCTTATTGAGGCTCTCAGAATATAAACTTTGGATATTCTCATGTTCAGAGACCCTGTTTTTAAGGGACCCTGTGTGGTTTGGTGGGCCAAGAGCATCCACTTTGGGGCCCACGCGGCCCAGTGTTGAATCCTAGCTCTGCTACTCAGTTTGTGACCAGATGCTAGCTGGGAGAGGTGGGTGTCCCTCTGAGTCCTGAGTTTCTGTTTGCATGGCCTGGGCTCAGATGCTCACTTAGGGCGGAGCACAGGTCAGATGGGCTGTGGGTTACAGCTGCAGCCTGGGCTCTGGTTATTCCCACCCCTTTCTTTCTCACCCATCCTGGATAGAATCTGTGGTTAAGAACCACTGTATGGATACATAGAGTGAATCTTTGTCAAATATAATATTTAGTAGTTGTATGATTAAATTTAAAGGCATCTCTGGCAAAATCCCAAATAGTCTTACTGATAGCCTTTCTAGTTGTGTGTAGGAAGTGAGTGTGTTTCTGACAGGTTTTGAGATGAGAAATACCACACACAAAAGAAAATCCAAACCATTAGGGTATTTGACTGATAAAATATCTTTTACTGTACGGATCATGAAGAGATAATTCAATACAGATGGTTAATGAAGATATTTTTACTTCATTGGTAATTTCAAGAAATACAAATTCAAAGAACAACAAAATCAAATTTTCACCTGCTACGTTTGTAGATTTAAAAAGAAGATTGACTACTGGTGAGGATGCAGAAAGATGGGCAATCCCGTTTGTGGTTGGCCAGAAATTTGATACAATTTTTATTATACATAGATAAATAACTTCCTAGTACCAAATTTTCTGCCAGTTATTAATACTGAGTGTTATTAACACTGGGAAGTTATTTGTCAATATATAACAAAAAGCCTTTAAAATGTTTATATCTTTCAACCGAGTCATCTATTTTAAAGAAATAATAATTTTGTAAAGGAAACAAAAAGTTATACTCAAAGATATCCTTGCAGTGCTACAATTTTTAATGGGGAGAATTGGAAACAAGCTCAGAACAATAAAAGGGTGGGTGGTTAAATATGCTACTTAGAATGAAATATGCTGGCATTAAAATGAGATTTTAGTAATAATCTATGGTCATAGCTACCATTTATGAAGAGTTTACTATATGCCAGGCCCCAAGCTAAGCACTTTGAAAATATATTATTTTATTTAAATCTTATTACAACAGATTAGTAACCTCCCAACTTCCAACAATTTTATCACCTCATTTAAACTCATTTGACAAATTAGAAAATGGGGGAAAAAAGTGTTAACATGAGCAAATTCTCTTGATATTCCTTTAAGCAAAAAAAAAAAAAAAAAAAAGGAAGTATACAAAGTTGTATGCACAGTAGTCCCCTCTTATCTGCTTATCTGCATGGGATGCCTTCCAAGACCCCCCACCAGATGCCTGAAACCTCAAATAGTACTGAATCCTATATATTCTCTGTTTTTTCAAACTGATAACCAAAACAACTACTATGTGGTATACATCGTGGGTATTCTGGACAAAAGGATATTTCACATTTCAGGAGGACCTAGTGGGACAGCGTGGGAGTTCATCAAGCACCTTAGAATATTGCACGATTTTAAACTTATGAATTGTTTATTTCTGGAATTTTTCATTTACTATTTTCAGACTGCAGTTGACTGCAAATAACTAAAACGTTGGAAAGTGAAAGTGCAGGTGAGAAGGGACTGCCGTAGTTTCAGCTCAACTATAGAAGTACAATAAACCCACTCATAATCTTGTAAGTAGGAATAAAACTCCAAACTGCATAAAGTGCAGGTTTGTATTATTACCAAGTTCCTGAAGTATCAGTGGGGGCTGGAAGGTGGAGGACAGCTCCATCGCTAGTCATTCACATGCATTATTCTGGATACATGAAGTTTAGTGAGAAATTTACCGAGATGTTGAGTGATTTTTCTCTGTATTGTAGCATTATGGGTAATTTATGCTTTTCTGGCTTTTCCACATTTTCTACAATTAGCATGTAGACGTATTGCATTAAAAATGCTTTGAAAAGTTTAGAAAACTTAAAGCAATTTGTTTTACTAATTTTTTAAAATAAGAGGGCAATGACATCTCTATTCTTTACAGTCCTTTTAGATCTGACAGCTCAGTAATTTAGACAGGAGAGAGAAAAGACAAAGCCCAGTGGTCAGAGGGAAATGGGAGGTGTGTCCCCTCCCAGCTACAGTGAGGGGGCCACGTGACGCCTGTGGCAGCATCTGTGGTCACATATGTTACAAGTGAAAAAAATATCACAATGAGGTTGGTAAAGCCTTGGGCATTACCCAACCTCATGTAGCTACCAAAATGTTTATTAAAAAACTATTTACAAAAGAAAGAAAGACACTATTAAGGGGTAAAACCAGTTTTCTGTATTATCTAAGAATAGAGATGCTCCCCCAAGTTAGCATGAGAGGCTAATTAGGGAACAGCGCTCTTTGACAAGAAACAAGAAGCAGGCTGGTCTCCTTCTGCTGTTTGCAGGATCTTTGAAAACTGAACTGAAGTTAACTTTGAGGCCGGCCCAGCATTTGTTAAATCTGAGCTTCTGAAGCTGCCGCAGCTGCAAGGTGTGCTCCCAGCTCCTGCAGCAACCCAAGTAACCGGGGGAAGTGCCGGAGGTGGTGAGCAGAAGCAGGGAGAGGGGCGATCCCCCTGCAGGATGGGATGCCAGGCCCAGGGTTGGGCCTTACAGGAAGTGCCCAGCTTTTGTTGAGGTGGCTGTGCCAAGCAGCAGAGGGCCCGCCCTTGTTTGTTGGGGTTTTCCTACTGGGTTCCGTGATGAGGTGGCTTAAAAGCAGAAGACTCAGAGAACCCTAAACGCTGGCTCAGGCCTGAAGGCTGAAGTTAGGTGCATTTAGAGAAATCGTTCATGTATGCAGGGGGCAGCTGGAGCAGCTGAGAGAGAGAAATGTCAAGTATTAGGTTCCAGATGGGCTCCTAGCAACATAATGCTAATTTTCCAGAGTGCTTTCACCTTTCTTCAGAGCCACTCATTCGTTCCTTCAACTGATGTTTACTCAGTATTGTTATAGGCACTGGAGAAGCCAAGATAAATAAGACACCTTTGCTGCCCATCCAGGTAGGAGACAGAGAACCAACAAACACATTTCAGTGTGGTGAGTGCTGTGGTGGGCCCAAGACCAGGGCACTGTGGGCACTCCCTGGAGAAGAACCTCACCGAAGCCAGGGGTTCAAGGAAGTGATAATATCTGAGCTATGTCTTACTTTGGTGCGTCTCCGATTGTAACGGATGCAAAAAGCACTTGGGGATCGTGTTAAAATGCAGGTTCTGATTCAGCAGGGTTGGGTGGAGCCTGAGATTTTGCGTTTTTAACAAGCTCCCAAGTAATGCCAATGCTGCTGGTCCAAGGTCCACATTTCAAGTAGCAAAGTCCTAAATGATGTCTAAGAAGGAGTCAGCCAGGTGGAGAAGTGGGAAAGGATATTCCTAAGAGAAGGCACATTCCACGCACTCCACTTAGGGAGCAGGAAGGGTTGCCCCTTGAGGGAAGTTGGGGTTTTGCTGGGTAGGCTTGAAATTGCCCTGGGTTGGCCTCTTTATTCTATTAGGGGTTTAATTCATTTAAAGTTTGAATCATTCATTCAAGTCTTTAAGGCTCAGCCCTAAACCTGATATTCTAAGAAATATATTCCTAACACTCACCTGACGTGTGTCCTTAATGGTGCCTAATGGTCTTTTTTCCTTAGTGATCTTTCCCTCTCATGTAGATGATAAGATCCTCGGAGCAAACCCAGTGGTGATGATCAGCCAATGTGATTGAGTTCTTAGGGTCCTAGGCTATAGCTGTACAAGGGAACCCATTGCTTGTTCACACCATAGCTAGCACAGTGCCTGATACACATGAGAAGCTAGTGCTCATTACATACTGAGTTTAAAATGAATGGATGAATTAGTATAAATACCTCAGGTGGGGTTCAGTAAGAAAATAGTAGAGTGATTAAGAGTACAAGCAGTGGAGTTACAATGCCTGGGTGCAAATCCTGGCTCTGCAAGTGCTAGCTTCATTAACCTGGGCACATCCTATAACCCCTTTGTGCCTCAATTCCTCATCTGTAAAATGGGATTGATAGTAATAGCTGCCTCAAAGGATTGTTGAATGCAATAAATAGCATAATACATATTGATTGCTTCTAAGAATTATAAACATTCAATAATTGTTATCTCTTATTTTTGTTAAGGGCTGAGTTTGACATTAGCCAACCTGTCCACATATTAACTGGGATACCTTGGTGAGGACGGGAATGTTTGTCTGAGGTAGGGATTATGGGTGAACTGATGAATCTTTGCTATGCCTGCCCTTCATTAACACACATTATGGCCGGTAATTGTATTATTTTTCGTAAAATACTTATTTGAAGCTAAAATAGGAAATCACATACATAAAGATAAAAATAGAGGTCTTGGCAGGGTTCTTCAAATGGGACCCTCAAGTATGAGCTGGTTTCATGAGATCACCTGTAGTTATTAGGGAGTGCTGTGTGGGAGAATTTTATTCTGTCTCCCTGTGTAATCACCTGAGCTGGGCTTTTGGAATTCTAGATGAGGTAATAAAAATAGGAATGTTTGTCAACAGGCAGCCAGTAGATATACACCTAGCTGAAACTGTATGTCGTATGGGTGAGAAGGCCATGGAAACTTGTGACTTCGCAGCTCAATACTTTTGTGAATTATTTACAGTTTAGAGTGGCTATTGAAAAGCTCTGGGGCTGATACTGTCTTATCTTCTTTTCTTTTTTTATTCATAAATACTTAGACCTGCACTGTCCAGTACAATTGTCACTAGCCACATGTGGCTATTTAAATTAATGAAAATTAAATAAAATTAAAAATTCAGTTGCGCTAGACACAATTCAAGTGCCCAATGGCCACATGTGGCCAGGTGTCACTAAACTGGACAGCACAGGTAGAAATATAGGACATTCCATTGGACATTACTGACAGAGTGCAAGTTGTAGACTTTAAGAGTTGCAGATTATAATTGAGTTACCCAGAGATGGCAAAATCCCAGAACTCATGCAATAAGGATGTTGCAGAATCAAATACAAAAATTAGGAAATGTAAAGGGCAAGTTTGTGTTACCTTTAGACAATAAAGTTTGACTCTACAGAGTTTTGTTCAATAGCTATTAAATAACCAGGCACTCACTCTATGTAAACTAAACAAAGGGCTCTGGGGAAGAAAGCAGAGTCTGTCAGAGGCAATCACTGGCCCTAAACTGCTTGCTGGTGAGTTGGATAGATACTAAGTGCATAGAACATAGTCCAAGGAGGTATGTGAGGAAAAGCTGATGAAATACTGAGACTGGAGTGAGTTCAATACAGGAGGCGATGCCTGACTTTGACATGATAGGAGGTACAAGTGGGACTGAGTCAAGGAGACAGTAATGGGTACAGCATGCTGGGGAAACAGAGAATAGGTAACTCCAGATGAATTAAAAATATTAATAGAACTTGAATGCCAATCTAGACATCATCCTACACATGGTGGGAGCCACAGAAGGATTGGGAGCACAGGAGTGCCATCAAGCAGGTAGTATTTCGCCAAGGTGAGTCTGGCAGGGCTAAAGAACTGGACTGGAAGAACCAGCCATCTTTGCTGGGATACCAGCCCAGAGGTTGTAGAAAAAATCCAGGCAAGAGGTGAGAAACACCTGACCAAGGTCAATGGAAGGGGAAATGAAAAGGGAAGCAATAAAAAGGAAAATTCAAAAGGTTTTGACTGATGGGAAAGATAACTGGCAGAAATGTAGCCAAAATGGCTTACTTATTTTGGATGTTTGGGGTTCAAGAAATACCTGTTGGTTTGGAACTTGACAGGTCGCTCCTCAATGCAATTTCACTGAGTCCTGTTATACCTTCTTAGACTGTTATCTAATGTTGTTGTGTGCATTTGGTGTCTACCTAACTCCAGGGTAAGCAATTTGGGGCCGGTGATTATGTTTGCCAGGCTTTGCTTTCTGCCCCAGAGCGTGTAGTTTAGTGCCATGCATGGAAAAAGTGCCCAGTTATTGAACAGCTGTTCTACAATTAACTATAGTCAAGCCCTATTGTCTAAACTTATCTTTTAAATATACTGAGGTAAAGGGAAGGAATTACTCATTTTAAAATAAAAATTCTGATTAAATGTTCCATTATTTTGGTAAATAGAGATGAATGTGTACGAAATGTCAGTTTTCTGAAAAATGGGGGTAAAAATACCTACCTCATAGAGTGCTGAGGATTACACGAGATGCATGCCAAACTAGCACGTGGTGAGCCATCAGTAAATGTTGGTTGATTCTAATCTAATGAACTGACTTCTGCACGGGATCGAAAGATCCACATATAATTTCATAGCTATTATCTCCCTACTTACTCATCTGTTGGATGCCATAAAATGAGGGACGTTCTGGGGTTCTTCCAGATCACTCCAGGCAGAATTGTTAAACATCTTGTTTGCTCAGTGTTGCAGAAGGCAGGGAGGGGGCTCCAGAGATAACTGCTCACTCAGGTGTCTGGCTCTCCCCTCACTTCTTCCTGCTTTTGTTACTCTTTTGGAGTGGGACAGCTGTCAGTAGAGCACCACAGGATAAGAAACATAACAGTAATAAAGAAAACTTTCCAGGAAGAAAGTTTGCAGTGTTTGTATGTGATGTGGCTGGTTTTCATAAGCATCAGAAAAACAGGGTCATTGCCCTCAAGTTCAATGTCAACTTCTGCCAGAACCTACCCCAGGTTGGGCCATGGCACTGTGAGAAGGGCCACAGCTTCTTCCCTGGGTGCCTTCCAACTAATTCTCCCTTACCTTATATATTGAGGTCAGACAAAGCTATTTCATAGACTATCTTCAGCTTGTCGAGAACTCTCAGGGGCCCCCTTTTGCCTAAACAGGAGGTCTGTGCTCCACTGCTTTGTTTCTCTCCAAAAGCCTTATCCACCATGTAGACTCAACCTTACTTTCTCATTTTCCAAGTCCATCCCTATCTTCAATAAGGAAGAAGTGCACTATTTCATGTACCGAAAGATCCAATACCCACTTCCCTTCTGGCTTTGGCCACAGCCCTCACCCCGGATGACTTCTCTTTTGCTTTCCGCTTTGCTGCATTTCACTTATCCTTCTATAGAGTGAAGACCCACTTCTTTCAAGATGCCTTTTAAAATTATTCCAGCCGGTAAGCTTGTCACTTTTTTCTGGATTCCTACTGCACTTATTTACAGTGACAAAAATTTACTACTCTCTAATTGTCTCTTATTTCTTACTGCTGATTTTCCAACTAGACTGAAGTCAGGGTTTATGTCTCGCCCTTCAAATCACATTATCAAAATTGAAGGTGAGGGCTCTGTGGCATTTAAAAAAATCTTAATTCTCTTTCAGGGTTTTCAGAGCGACCTCTCAGAGACTTGGCCATGGGGCAGAGGCTTCATCTTTTCTCTCCTTCCCCCACCTATTCCCAATCTTGGCTTCTCTCAAGTCCTGATTTTAGATGCCTTACATATTAAGTAAACTTTTGTCTGAAGAAAGGCTTCCTTAGCTAAAGCTTAAGAACTACACAGTTCCCAGCCATTGGAAACTTGAGAGTTGGCTGACTAGTTATGGTGGTGAGGAGTATTCTAGATTGACCCATTCTGCTTCATGTGTATCTAAAAGCTGAATTACTTCAGGGAAGTAAAGTAGAGAATGGGGCTCAGCCCTTGGGAGATGTAGCCCCACACATAGAAAAAGTACTTTGTTGCTTGTAGTAAACTTGGAAAGCACAGAAAAGTATAAAGAAAATAAAAATAATCTCGAATCCTCCTACCCAAAAGGAACGCTTAATCTTGGTGTACTTTTTGGTTTTTCAGTCACACACATTCACATCAATATAATTTGTCCCAGTTGAGATTATCCCACGTATTGAATTTGGTGTCCTCCTTTTTTCACATACAATTATACCATGATCACTAAAATTCCTCTTACATGTATTTGTGATGGCTCATTGTTGCAGATTGGTTCCCCAGGAGACAGACTCTGAGATGCAGACTGGCAAGGAGGATGCTTATGAGGGACCACCCTTGAAATCAACATCTGCCAAAAGGAAGAGAAGAAGCAGGGTTAGACGGAGGGAGAGGCTGAGCTGTGATGTAGGCCTTACCCAACCCCATGGGGGAACTCTGGAATTGGGGTGGCCCTCTCAGCTGTCCTAGACTGGGGCAAAGGGGCCAGACCTTTATACCTCCTGATGGACTTCTCTTTGGTTTCAGGCTGCCCCAGAAGAACACATGCTCTTGGGTGAGGCAGTCTCCAAAGAGAGTTCACAGCTGATGTCCATTTGGGGCAGCAGTCCCATCATCTGGGAGAATAGTCCCTTCATTCCTGAAGTGGGATCAGAGCAGCATGTCACAGCCTCCACCACACTCATAACACTACCCATAACACTCATAACATAACACTCATAACATAACACTCAACGCTATGCACTGTAGTGCATAGTGTAGTTTACTGTGCTTTCAATAATGGCTGAAATTGAGGACTTACTTTACAGCAGCGTTGTGCTGGGTGATCTCACTTAGACCCCAGAACTGCCCAATGAGATGATTGCTAATGCTATCTCCTTTTACTGATGTGGAAATAAGACTAGACACTAAGTGGGTCCCACAGCTGATAAGTGCGGGAAGCCAGGACTTGAACCCTAAGCCCTAGCTCTATTTGTTTTAGTAAGTACCTAAAAGAATGTTTCTAGGTAAGAGTTTCAGTTTCTATGCAAAAACATTACTGCATATTAAATGAAAAGATGTATACTATACTGCATTTTCCTTTCATCTTCAGAACAGACTAGAAAGATGATTTTCAGAATGGTAAAAATAATCATTGCTAGTCCAAGGTGAATTAGAAAACTTAAATAACTACATGAGGGCATATTTTCAAAAGTTGTGAATAAATGACAATAGGAACTGCAAGGGTTTACTGATAACACCTTTGATTCAAACTGATATATTCAAAACACAAAGCAGCAACTGCATGTCGATGTGAAACCTCAAGCTCAACCTGCCCTTTTTTTTTCTACCTTGCATGTAAATTATTATTTCTACTACATGTGAGCAGGAAGGGTAATGCTAGGGCTTCTATGTGGCTGTCCAAGAGCCATTTATGCGCATCGCAATTAGTGTCATTTTTGAAAAGCTATTTCAATTAAGGGATGATAAAAATTACCATTTTATTCTTCATATTATTATAGAATTTAGGATTTGGGGGTTAAGTTTACTTTCCATTCTTATCTTCATACCACCATTTTATTAATTTTTTCAACAAGAACTACCTAAATTTTTTATATTTTTTAAAGAAAATCTTCCAAAATAGAGGTTTTACCAATTTTTTGCATTGCTCTATTTGCCGTACTATAATCTACGCGTGCTCCTGATGAGTCAAGATCAATACTCTTTCAGGGTGATTGCATTTGTTTATTTATTTATCCCACTTATGCATCAGCACAAAAATTAAAATTCAGGGTCAGTTATTGCTGGGGAGTGTTCTCCGCAATGTAATTTGGTTGCTAGGAAACCTGTGGGCGGGCGTTAGCAAGAGGAAGAGAAAGCTCCTCCGCCAGCAATTCAATAGCAGTATTGGCTTTCATTTCAAACGTGCTAAATAATAGGGCCCTGCAATTTGCCTCCGTTAGCCCAAGTTGCTTACGTTTCTTCCTGAATGGAAAATTAATCTGGTTTAGTGCCGGGTAACATTTGCAACCATACTTCCTCTGCCAGGCATTAAAAAAAGAAGTTTCCCACTTTGGGAAATAAGAAAGTTCTGTGTCTTTCTTCATGTTTTATCATGTTTTTTTTTTTTTTTCCTTTCTTTTCCTTTTCTCTCTCTCTCTCTGTCAAGAAAATGCATCATGTTAACAGCCTTTAAGCCCAAGATCAAGCCAAGAGGTAGCAGAGCTCAGGAAAAAGAGATCAGGACAGCCCTTTATTTCTAGGGTGTAGGTAGGGTTGGGTATAAAGAGTTCTGCTAGGGTCTGAGGAGGAGATAAGAGAATTGACCTAGGCATAGAGAGTGCTTGGGGAAATTGGCAAGAGGTAAAAGGAAACCACATTTCTATGTCAGCTCAGGTCCAGCATATCCTCTACTTGACCCCTGTCCACACATAAAGCAGAACATAACATCTTGCATAGAGTAGGTGCTCAAGAAACATGTGTTGGCAACACACAAATCCTAATGTAATGAGCCTGGATACAGGAATTCTATCAGAACAGCTGCAGTCAGTCATAGCGTTGTTGGGGTGCATGTTTTAGGCCTTATGTAATTTCCTGTCTCGGGATGAAAAAAAATGGACTAACAGCCAAGGCTGGCAAGCTGTTCCTGGCTGAATGTGAACCAGGCTCCAGTTCCACATCCCCAAAAACCCTCCTATGCTTTCCCCCTTTTGAGTAAATTAATTTTTATCTGCCTGCTCTGAGTTTGTAAGAGCTATTAAGAATGGGTCAGTGCTACCTTCAGAACAGATTTAACAGGATCCCTATGCCTTTGCAAGATTTCTAAAACCTGGTCCAGGCTAGGGATACCAAGACACTATCTTGAGGTTCTTTGGAAACGTGTCTTCTCTCCTTTCTTCCTTCCTGTTGCTGTAGGTAATTTTCTCAGGGCTGGATTGATCCAGCCTGCTGACTAGGCTTCCTCCTGGGATACTCCTCTTCCATTCTACCCACTGTGTCCTCACAACCTTCTTCGTCCATATGAGGTCGTTCGTAGAATCTTCTCCAATCGTTTGTCTTTTCTCTTGATACTACGTGCATCCACTGTTGTTTCACAGGATGATATCAGCTCTTTTCAAAACCACAGACAGCAGAACTCCCAGGTCAGTGTGCCTTAAAATGGAAGCCAAGCCATCTTGGTGGTCTTCAGAGATTTTCTCCAGGGGCTGGGAGCTCTCAAAGTTTGAGTCACTATGCCCTTGTAGTTTTTCACTTGAGCAGCTCACCCTCTATAGTGCTTGTATCATTGAATTTTTGAACTCAAGCTTGTGGTTTACACTGATCTTACAATGGGCAGTTAGAGGGGAGAGGCACAAATAGGAGAAAGAGAGAAGAAGAAATCAGAGTTAGATTTTTAGAAGTTAGGCATGCAAGGAAAGAGAACAAATGGAACCATCGGCAGAAGAATAAACAAGAACCAAGACGGAAGAAGCCAGTTAGGTTCACCATAAGGACTTAGTGATCTTAGAGCAAAAACCATGCCTTCAGATGACTGAAGAGAAATAGATGACAGAATAAGAGAATAAGGAATGTTGAGAAGAGGTGAAGGCCCAGAGCATAGGGATTTGGATAGGTCTTTTGGGGAGAGGGGAGTGCTTATTACAATTAGCAGGCATTGGCCCGGGTAAGACAGATCATAGGAAATGGAATTCCTCTTCCTCTCATCCTTTCTCCCACTTCTGACATTTTCCATTCTTTTTTCTTCTCTTTGGGGTATCTTACATTTCTTTTCTCTTCCCTGAATGAATCAATTAATCAATCTTCCTCCCTTCTCTCTTGCCTTAAAAGTGTTTTTGTGAACTGTAGGTCTTGACCTATTAACAGGTGATGAAATCAGTTTTGAAGCATTTTCAAAACATTGAAATAGAATACAATAGTAAGCTGGGTGCGGTGGCTCCCGCCTGTAATCCCAGCACTTTGGAAGGCTGAGGTGGGCGGATCACCTGAGGTCAGGAGTTCAAGACCAGCCTGGCCAACATGGTAAAACCCTGTCTCTATTAAAATACAAACATTAGCCGGGTGTGGTGGTGTGCACCTGTAATCCCAGTTACTCGGGAGGCTGAGGCAGGAGAATCACTTGAACCTAGGAGGTGGAAGTTGCAGTGAGTCGAGATGGCACCACTGCACTCCAGCCTGGGTGGCAGAATGAGACTCTGTCTCAAGAAAAAAAAAAAAAAAGAAAGAAATAGAAAAGAATATAAAGAATAAAAGACAATAAAATAGAAAATATTTGTGTGCAACTTAGGGTCAGGGCAAACTTGTTTCAGTTATGTGTGTGTAAAATTATTTCAATCAGTCAAGAAAAGTTTGAAGGCAACTAGGATATAATTTACAACTGAGGAAATTTCTTTATTATTTGGTATAATTAGTAATGTTTTTGATGAGAACTTTTAAGAGGGTCATGTTGATAAAGTTTTAATATTTCTTTCTCTCAACTTCTGTCCCAAACAAAAATATCTTGAATTTTTAAATTACTTTTCCCTGAATTTTTTTTCTTGTGTATTAGCACCCCTGGAAAGAAAATATGTTTTGTAGCTGAAAAACATCCTAATACTCAGAGTTTATACAGAATATGGACTTCAGTTAAACCCGTAGGCAATCTCCATTTTCTGGATACAAATTAACTGCAATGGGTGGGTTGTTGGCTCAGAGAAGGTGAGTTTTATTAACACTCTTGGATGCAGTTATGGCAGGCAACAGAATGTTGAGACATGCAATCAGTTAATTTTTTGTAAAATATGGCAGGCATGGCCTGGAACTAGGAGAGATAAGTGGAGAGTAACCAACCCTACCTTCAAGAAATTTTCCTCCTTGACCACAAGTTTATATTTTACTTCTGGTTTACTTGATATGTTCCTTTTCACTAAACATTTTAATAACATACACCTGTATAGTAATTTCGCCATCATTTTAAATTTTTTCTGTTTTGTAAATTGTAAAAGTTATATATATTTGTTGAATCAAAGTCAAACAATACAGACATGTAAAGGAAAAGCTCAAAAAAATCCTCTTCTCACTACATCACCACTCCCCCACCACACACACATACATAGCCCCCCGTTTCATGCCTCACTTCAATATCCTTTTGGCCTGTATCCCTCTAGATATAGACAAATGTTATGAACGTTTTAATGTGCACACAAGTCACCTGGGACCTCGTTAAATACAGCTTCTAACTCAGCAGTTCTGGGGTGAGCCCTGACACCCCACATTTCTAACAAGCTCTCAGGTGATGCTGATGCTACAGGTCCAGAGATCACGCTTTGAGTAATGAGGGGCTAGACTGTTGCACTGTCCTGTACAGTATCTAATCACCACATATGACTATTGAAATTTAAATTTCAGTTACTTAAAAAGGAGAGAAAGTATTCTTTTACAAGCTGCCTTTTCTTTTTTTCTTCTTAAGTCATATATATTACCTTCTAATCTCCCGAAAATGATTTTTAAATTTTATTTTTATTATATGTTTACATACAGTATTTAACAAAAATATTGAGATCACACATAATTTTTGGTGCATATCTAATGAAATATTTATACTGAGAGAAGGATGATTATCTGCTTATCATTTATTCAGCTATTCATTCATTCAATGAGAGTTGTTGAGTATCTACTATGATCATCTAGACAAAACACAGACCTTGATATCAAATTATTTTCAGTCATAAATTGAGAGCTTAAAATTTGTAGCCTATCTCCATATCAGTAAAACTGCCCGCAAACTATCTTTTACCCATAATTGGCTATCCTCTGTTTAAGAAACTGATACACACATAGAATAAGATCCCATAGTCTCACAAGGATGGACATGATTTAAACCCAAGTGATCTTAACTGGGTGAATTCCTGCACCCTGATTTGTGCCCAGGCCAAAAAAAGTTCACTCACTTTAATCAGTTGCTTTTATGGAAGGAATATTCTTGTTGCTTTTGACTTATAGAGTAATGCAGGTTTTCTTTTTAGAAAGCACTTACGAATTCTTTAAATTTGTTATTAATCAACTTATTGAGGCACAATTTACTTACAACAAAATGCGCAGATTAAAGGTATACCATAGGATGAGCTTTAATAAATGTATACCCTTGTGTATATTCTGCACTATCCTGATGTTGAATATTTCTGTCACACAGTATAGTTTCATTCTGCCTCTTTGCACTCAAGCACAACTTCCACTCCTACTCCCCCTCCCCACCACAGGCAACCGCTGTTCTGATTTCTGTCATTATAGTTAAGTTTTGCAGGTTTTAGAACTTTTCATAAATGGAATCATATTATAGTGTATACTCCTTTTTGTCATTCAGCATAATGGTTCTGAGAGTCATCGTGTTGTTGTGGTGTTGGTACTTTGCTCCTTTTTATTACTGAGTAGTATTTCATTACATGAAGGTACCACAATTTGTTTATTACTCAACTGTGGTGAACATTTGTGTTGCTTCCAGTGTGAGGCTATTCTGGATAAAACTGCTATATACATCCATGTATATTACTTTTAGTAGATATAAGTTTTATATCATCTAGAAGTAGCTGAGTCATACAGTAGATAAATATCTACCTTTAGAAGAAGTTACCAAATTACTTTCCAAAGTGGTTGTACCACTTTACATACCCACTGGTAATGTACCAGTGTTCATTTCTCCACACCCTCGTCAACAGTTGGTGGTGTCAGTCATTTTAATTTTTACCAATTCTAGTAAGTGTTAAATGGTTTCTCATTGTGGTTGCAATTTTCATTAATGTTGAGTGTCTTTTATTTTTGAACTCTTTAGCATTTGTATAACTTATTTTTGAAATGGCTATTCCAATCTTTTGCTCATTGGTTTGTTTCTTATTAATGGATTGTAAGAGTTCTTTTTATATTCTGGATACAAGGCCAGGGTGAGATATGTGTATTGCTAATGCTTTCCCTCAGCAACTGGTTTATCATTGCATTTTCTTAATGGTGACTTTTGAGAAGCAGAAGCTTCCTAATTTTGATGGAATATAATTATCTATTTTTTCTTTTATGGCTAAAACTTCTTACTTCTTAAGAAATCTTTGCCTACCCCAAATGGCAAAGATATTTTCTTAGAGTTCTTCTAGATGTTTTATAGTTTTAGCTTTTACATTTAGGACTATGATCCATTTTGAGTTAATCTTAGTGGATAGTGTGAGATAAGGGTTGAGATTCAGTTCCTTTCATATAGATATCTAGTTGTTCCAGCATCATTTGTTTAAAAGACTATCCTTATCCTTTTCCGTTGAATTATATTGGCACTTTTGTCAAAAATCAATTGATTGTATATGTGTGGCATGATAGGTTTAGTTAAGCACTGGTATATTTAAGCACTAGTATATTTTTACATTTTTTTCAATCTTAAAATCTTGAATGTATTCAGGCCTGGGGTGATGACTAGAACTGATCTAGATGAGAACAGTCAAGCAGTGTGCATTGCAGGACATTTCCTACCAAGCTCCTCATTTTCTGATGCTCCTCTATGCTTCCACATGGAGACTGTACAATAGGCACATGCTCCCTGGGCCCAGTCGGACAGCGGCCTCTTAAAACTCCATAGTCCCATCCCCTCACCCATCACCTCAGCCTACCCCTCCTTCAAGTCCTGAGAGTACTAGAAGAGAGGACCTCTCATGCTTTGAGGCAGAACCTAGCACACCGGTGGCAGTAGTCAGGATGGAGCCTTCCTCATGGACCTGAAGACTTCTCTCTGAACCACCAACTGGCCCTTTCTGTTGGGCTTAAGGGGACCACAGGGTGTAGGAGACAGTTGGGGTACATTTAAATCCTGCTCTATAGTAAGCCCTACTTGATGAGGTTGTAAATCGTGGTTCATTGCTTCAGTTGCTTTATGTTTAAAGTACTCACTAATTTCATTCAGCAAGGAAGAATGATCTAAAGAAAGAACCTGAAACTTGGAGTTAGAGCCCAAGACTTGGATTGGAGTTCCAGTTCTTTTACTTGCCTAGTGTGTACTCATCATAAATAATAAGAGTGCTGTTAGTGACACACAGGATTGTTGTGAGCATCAAATAAGAGCACTCTGCAAATTGTGTATTCAAACGGTATTTTAAGCATCTTTCCTTCAGTAGCCCCAAAAGTTGCTATATTCAAATCTGAGTCATTACTTAAATAGGCTTTGTTGAAATAAAGTGCATAATGACTTTGAGTGGATCCACTCTCTTTAAAAACTCATCAGCAAACATTTGCTTCCTGAGTGATTCCTCTGTAACTTTGAAATACATGAGAAATGATTCTATAGAGGATAACTGCTGCAAGCCTAGGTCATAGTCAACTTGTCATTTGTTAAGGATTAATACTTTTGCTGAAAATGTATCAAAAATATTGGCAAGAGCATGGGCTGGACATAGAGTACTTTCTTTATGGCATATAAACAAAAACAAAACCTTTCCCCAAAAGGCTATATAATACCTTACTTCATGTATTATGAAATATGTATCATTATATTTTCCCCTGATATTAATTAATTTCAATAAATATTTTGTTGGTAAACATTTTTCCCTAACTATAATGGTGATGCACACTCATTTTAGAAAACTAGGAAACTATAGACATGTATAAAGTTGAAATTGAAAATTGCCTAGCATCTTCGCACTGAGAGATAACCATTATTAACATTTTAATGAGTATTTTTGTAGCCATTTGTACTCATATATATATGCATTTTTAGAAAATTCATAAAGTATTTTTGATATAGTTTTGCACATTGCTTTTTTCTCATTATAAGCAGATTTCAATGTTAATGAATATGTTCAGAAAAATAATTTTGAAAGCTGCCTAATATTTTATCTATACTTAGAATTTCTAAAAATTATTTAAATATTGCTTTTCCTAATTATTATTAAATTAAATTTATCAAAATTAAATTTTATCTACTTAAATTTGTAACTGTTGAATTTCAGTTGCTGAAAGAATTCTCTTTACTGTAAGAAAAATAAAATATGTCCACTCAAATACACACACTAATTTTAAAGGTAGATCATGCATTTTTAGCAGGGACAATATCAACTAAAAGGAATTAAAAAATTGGTTTTGAGTAAAAAGATCTTTCTTTTTTTCATGGATAAAGTATAGATATACTGTACATAGAGTATAAAAACAGATATGCAGTATATCAGTAGTATTAATATTTCATGGAGAAGAGAGATGATTAGAAAAAAAGTCTAAAAAGATTTCTTAGGAGGTGATAATGAAAGATAGATTAAGAAACACTGAGATAATCTTGTAGAATTAAAATCCTGCAGGGCAATGCAATTGCTTTAAACTTATGCTCATTTCAACGAAATAAGTTTCCTCTCTAACATACAGAATCTTCTGATGTTCTATCTGGTATCAGGTAGTCATTTCTTTTTGAGTACAGGATGCAGAGAAAAGAAAATATTCAAGTTAAATTAAGGTTGAAATTTCACATGTTGTAATTCCATTTAAATAATAGCACTACATTCTAACACTATTCATTGTCAAATGGAAAACTCATTTTCTTACTTTAAAAACCCAGAATCAATCATTTGTCTCTTAAAAGAAAGTATTGTGGTTATGTGCTTTGTATTTTAATTTGACAAACTTCAGTGGTTTTCCAAGAGTATCAACTGTAGTTTTATATGCAAATCTAATAATTGAAAAGACACAATCACCACAAGAACAAAAATGATAGCAAAATGCACTGACTTAGGTTGTCTTTTAATAACAGCTTTATTGAGACATAATTCACATCTATAAAATTCCCCCTTTTAGAATGAACTTTTCAGTGGTTTTTAGTATATTTACATAGTTGTATAATCATCAGCACTATCTAATTTCAGAACCTTTTCATAACCCTAAAAAGAAAGCCCACACCTATTAGCAGTCACTCCCCATTTCCCTTTCCCAACAGCCCTTGAAACCATTAATCTACTTCCTATCTCTATCAATGTTTCTATTCTGGACCATTCATAGATTTAGAAGCATACAATACATGACCCTTTGTAACTGGCTTCTTTCACTTAGCATAATGTTTTCAAAGTTCATCCATGTTGTAGTATCCATCAGTACTTCATCCTTTTTTATGCTCTGAATAATACTCCACTGTATGGTTATACTACGTTTTGTTTATCCATTCCTTAGTTGGACATCTGGGCTGTTTCTACTTTTTGGCTGTTATAAATAATGCTGCCATGAACATCTATGTATTAAGTTTTGTGTGGACATATGTTTTCAACTTTCCAGATACATACCTAGAAGTGAATTATCAGGTCATATGATAATTATGTTTATTTTGAGAAACTATGAAACTGTTTTCCAAAGCAGCTGTAACATCTTACAATCCCATCAGCAATGCATGAGGGTTCCAATTTCTTCACATCTTCATCATTTGTTATTGTCTTTTTAATTTTAATTATCCTTGTGGGGCTGAAGTAGTTTTAATTTGCATTTCCCCACTGAGCAATAATACTGAGTGTCTTTTGCCATTTCATATGTCTTCTTTGGAAAAATGTCTATTCAAATCCTTTTCCCATTTTTAAATTGGGTAATTTGTCTTTTTATTGTTGAGTTATAAGAGTTCTTTATATATTCTGGATACAAGTCCCTTATAAGATATATGATTTGGAAATATTTTCTCTTATTCCTTGGATTATCTTTTTACTTTTTTGATGATGTCCTTTGAAACACAAAAGTTTTAAATTTTGATAATGTCCAATTTATCTATATTTTCTATTGTCATTTATGCTTTTGGTGTTATACGTAAGGAAACATTATTTAATATCACAAAGATTTACTTCTGTTTTATTCCATTAGTTTTATAGTTTTGCTTTTACATGTAGATCTTCGATCCATTTTAGGTGAAATTTTGTATATGGCATAAATAATGTGAGAGTCCAATGTCACTGTTTTTCATGTGGATATCCAATTATCTCAGTGCCTTTTGCTGAATAACTTAGGTTTTGAATCAAGATATAATAATGATCGATTAACAGGTTAAGATCCTTGTCTGAAACAGCCTTTCTTTTTTTCAATTCTATCACCCTTTTTCATTCCTTTCCTTATGTGTAAAATGCCATTTATTGTACTAATATTTGGAAGTCCTATCTTTTACTGAAGATTATTATTACCAATTATGGGAAAGTGAAGCGCTCTGGCTGGTTATTTCCTCATCTACAGAATTCAGGGCTTGGACCTAGATTTTTCAGCTCACCGAGACCCTGGTTAATATGAATTTAGCATACATCGCATCCACATATTGTCACTTTAAAAATAATTAACATGTTATAAAATCCCATAGCATTAAAATTGCTATCAAGTAATATAATGTTTCTTCGAAAGGACTAAATTTAAACTTGGAAAAAAAATAGGATTCTGGTGATGGTGAGGGAGTATTTTTAAGGGAGAGATAGTGAACCCTATCAGGTGCAACAGAGAATAATCTCCAATAAAGGAGCTCTGCATTTAGCAGCAAGGACACCATTGGTGACCTTTGAGAGAAATCTCAATAATTGGTGGGTGAAATGGGTAATTTTATGTGTCAACCTGGCTAGACTGTAGTTCCCGGTAGTGCCCACCTAATCTAATTGTTGCTCTGAAGGTATTTTGTAAACGCACAATCAGTTGACTTTAAGTAAAGGAAAAATTTTTTGATAATCTGGGTGGTCCTCATCCAATCTTAAGAGCAAAGCTGAGGTTTCTCTGAAGAAGAAGAAATCCAGGCTGTTGGCCTGCCCTACAGATTTCAAGCTTGTCAGATTCCACAACTGCATAAGCCAATTCCTTGAAATCTCTCTCTTTGTATGCATATACATATATATGAATGTACATGCACACATAAATGCTATTATATAACATAATATACCTAATATATTATACAAACTTATAATTATGTATCATATATAATTATATATTATTATATATTCCATACATATATACACACTGATTTTATATATCTATAAAATATATCTGATTTTATATATTTATCTATAGATATGATATATCTATATCTATCTATCTATCTATCTATCTATCTATCTATCTATCTATCTATCTATCTACCTATCATCGAGAGAGAGAGGAGAGAGAAATGTTTGCCAGGAAAATAAAGGGGAGACCAGAGGGCAGCTAGTAAAGCATTTTGGGTATTTGGGAGAGCGAAGGGGTTTCAACTAGTTGAATCTAACAAGCAAAGTATTGTATTCAGACACTCCACAATAGAACCCCTTGGTTATATTTAATAAAGTTTTTTTTAAAAATAGAACTAACTTTTTTTACATTTATCTCCCAACTTTTTTGTAAATATGCACTGAGTAGTTTAACTTTATGATCTCATGGTATAATTTTAGGATCTGGACTCCCATTAAAAGTTTCTCTCTTTCACTGAGTGCCAACTACTTGGATTGCATGCTTAGTGGCAAGAAACGATCAATCAGGCTCCATAACATTTTCCTTATAAATTCCCCCTTTTTACATGTTGGCAGACATCATTTAAAAAGTCACAAAAGAATCATCAGGGGGAAAATCATAAAAACAGCAAGTAAAAATTGTAACTTCTATACTAGCCATGGAATCATGGCTATCATGGAATCATAATTAATCATGGAACAACATAATTAGAAGTTCATTGGATAAAGTCAAGGAAATATATGCTTTATAAAATGTAAGGAAGTACTGATAATGTCAGAGAAGTAAGGATTTTACTTTCTTATCTAAGTCCACAAGATGATACAGTCTTCTAATTACACATTACAAGCGTAAATTTACATTCTAAAGTGCATGCTGTAAGGGAAAAAAGAAAGGATTTGGCTTACTTTCGTGCAGAGCTGGATACAGTAGTCTACAAACAAGCTGGCATATGTTGACATAATTTGATTAAATACTGTCTAGCTATAATTTAAGCCCTGTTACACTCTATTGATTGCATCCTAGGGCTATGTTAGCTTTGAAAAACTTCAGCTTTGTCAATGAGCGTCAGGTTTACTGGGCTACTAAAAAAAGTGTAGTTAATGAATCAGTGAAACTGCCTTGAGTATGGTGATGGAGTTTTGTTCTGGAAGAACTCCATGAAGATATTATATAAGCATGAAATCTGAATTTTCTTGAGTCTAGTGACTTTCAATCTTTTTGATGTCTTAGATATTATTGTGTAATGCTTGGTTCTCAGCATGAGAGTACAGTATTTGTCAGGGAAGACTATGGTAATAATGTGTATATAGATCTTCAACTGATTCTAAAATTTGAAGAAAGCCTCCGTTAATTTGCTGGGATTATATGTTAACAGATATCATTCATAGTAATCTGGGGTCTTTACTTTTCTAGAAAATTTTACTTTTACATTAAATTTTACATTAAACATCATATAAATCACTGAGTGGTGTGTACTATCATTAGCTAAGAGGTTACTGGTTAGTTAGGTTATATCGTTAAGTGCATTCTTCTTAATAATTTTCAGTATTTATCCTTTGGGAGGACAGAAAAACAAACTGCATATGATAGAAGCCCTTTAGAAAGGCTGACTTGTGTTGTCATGGTTAGATAAAATGGATTTTAACAGACAAATCTGTTAAAGTAATAGATTACTGAAAAGTAATATATTAGTATCAAAGCTTTTCTATGAGTAGCTGTATAGATACTTGCTGCTTGATATCTTTTAATCGTGACAGTTGCTATAAATAATATGAACTAAACCACAAATTACATTGAAATATAATTTGTTAATTTCTCATGAGAGAACATGGAGATTATAAAGTTCTTGATAGAAAGGACTCTAATTTACTTTATTGTCACCAGTAGCATAGGATCTGGTATATAATAGGCATTAAACATTTTTTATGAATAAATTAATAAATCAATTAATTGAGTCATTGACTGAGGAATATTTATTCTGATCCAGCATTGGCCCTAATAATTAGTTTTTAATAAGGTGATGGGTTGATATAAACTCTGACCTTCAACTATGAAACTGTATGCACTCTTAGCTCAGAGGCCAGATTAAAATTCAATCTGATGAAAACTAGAGACCTGTTACGAGGTAGTGAGAACTCATCTGTAGATATATTTGAGAGTTGACTGATTAAAGGGAATAAAAGTTCATAGCCTCATCCAGTCATCCTCCTATTGCAAAATAGAGGGGATTTAATGACTGTGTGTTCGGTGTTCTCTTGATGAAGATCAGATATCCATTGTTTGACAGACTGAATATTATGCTCATTTGGTCAACCCACTCTTTTCCTAATTTTGCAGGGGGTAGATATTATTATGAATGCATTCTGGCTTATTCTTAGTATATACTACTTTCATCAGTCTGCCAATATTCCTCTCTCCTCAATTCAAGCCCCAGAAATGGGCAGTTCACGGTCGGTTTTATTAGATTTTACAAGAGATGTTAAACACTTAGAGAGCAAGCTTTCCAGCTTTCCATTTGGCATCCTTATTTAGGCAAATTATTGTATGCAGTTGCCTAATTGTTAGTCACAGCAGGCCTAAAATTACAAAACTGCTTGAGATATGTTTGTCTAGAAGCTGTTCAATTTCAATTGTCAGCCTCCAACAGTAATGTTGGTAGAATAATCATGATGCATTTCTAGTATACTAAAACTAATCTGTAGTAAAATTAATCTACTTATTTTATTTGGTCCTTTCACTCAACAAGTACAAATGGCACACATGCATGGCTAAGTCCAAAAGGAGATACAAAGTATGAGAAACAGTTCCTGCCTTTCAGGAATTAAATTCTAATTGGTCGATTTCTCTTATCTATTGAGAAGCTAGGGTAGCCCCATTAATGAGAGTTTATTTTGGCAAAGACTACCAAAAGAAGTATAATTTAAGTCTTAGAATATAATTTTAAAGGTAGAATCAAGAATGAAGATATTTGCTATTTTTGCTAATTTGCATTGTTATGGAGGTCCAAACCGATGTAATAAGATAAGAAAAAATATTATATAATACAATTAAAAAAAAACAGAAATAAACCTATATCTTTGAATATGGATAGAAAACTATCTGAGAGAATAAACTAGGTGATTAAAAGTGGTTGTTTTAATAAGTGGGGCTGTGAAGTTAAAAGGAAGTTAGTTTTCTTTTACTTGTTCTCTCCCCCCACTTCAGTGAAGTCTGAATTTTATGTTCTACCACAAATATGTATAATTGATTGCATTTTTTTTTTTTTTTGAGATGCAGTCTCACTCTATCGCCCAGGCTGGAGTGCAGTGGTGCGATCTCGGCTCACTGCAAGCTCTGCCTCCTGGGTTCACACCATTCTCCTGCCGCAGCCTCCCGAGTAGCTGGGACTACAGGCACCTGCCACCACGCCCGGCTGATTTTTTGTATTTTTAGTAGAGATGGGGTTTCACCATGTTAGCCAGGATGGTCTTGATCTCCTGACCTCATGATCTGCCCACCTCGGCCTCCCAAAGTGCTGGGATTACAGGCGTGAGCCACGGCACCTGGCCAACTGATTGCATTTTTGAGTTAAAAAAAAATCAAGGAATTAACAAAAGCATGAAATGGTAAGCCAGAAAGAGAAAGTAAGTGGGTCATAAAAACTGAAAACAGGTCAGAAGCAGATTTTTTTTTTTTTGAGATGGAGTCTTGCTCTGTTGCCCAGGCTGGAGTGCAGTGGTGCGATCTTGGCTCACTGCAAGCTCTCCCTCCTGGGTTCACACCATTCTCCTGCCTCAGCCTTCCGAGTAGCTGGGACTACAGGTGCCCACCACCACACCCAGCTAATTTTTTTGTATTTTTTAGTAGAGACAGAGTTTCACTGTGTTAGCCAGGATGGTCTCGATCTCCTGACCTCGTGATCCACCTGCCTTAGCCTCCCAAAGTGCTGGGATTACAGGCATAAGCCACCGCGCCCAGCCAGAAGCAGATTTTAAGGGCTGGGGGATGGAGTCAAAGATTGGAGAGCAGGTCGGGTGAGAGCAGAAAATTATCAATAAAATGGAAAGACTGACTGGGGACCATTCATCTGTGACAAAACTATGACAATGAGCTTTTATGTGCATCATGAAGTGTGGTGTGCCCATGTGCTTAAATGGTCAGAATAGGGCTGAAAATGGGAATGTGCACAAAGTAATCTATTTCAAATACTTAAGCACAGAAAGGTACTATCTGATTTACATTTTCTTCTCACCTCTGTATTTAAAAATATTTTAAACTTATGGGAAATTTGAAAAAAAGGTACAGTGAACATCTATATACTCTTCATCTAATTGCACTAAATGCAGTTGCCTAATTGTTAGTCACAGCAGTTGTTAATATTTTGTGCCCTCTATGTCTGTTGATATACATTTTTCCTGAAAACATTTGAAAGTAGGTTGCAGACATCATGGCATTTCACCCCTAAATATTTTCTAATATATATAACACAGATAACTGTCAAATAGTAATAATAGCTATTGGTTTTACACCTCTTAACGTGTGCCTGACCCTGTAATAAATACTTCGCATACATTAGCTAATTAATCCTTATAACAGTCCCTTGAGGAAGATCTGATTGACGTCCATTTTATTGATGAAGACCAAGATGAGAATCAAGCTGATCCCTGACTGACTCCAAAGTCCCTGCTTAAAAAAACAAGGCAGGATATAGTTGAGGCCTTAGTGAGTGAACTGACATTAAGTTTCCATTGAACTTCAGAGCACGGAGCAATCATGGCAGACCTCAGTAAAGCATTGTTACCGCTTCATCCTCAGATTCCACAGTGGTTTAGAAATGTTTTCCAGAAATGGATACCTTGAGCTGAACTGACAGAGACGGTTTTCTCTCCTTTACTAGGAACTTATGTCCTGAAATCACTGACATTTAGATATCCATTTTCCCTTTTCGTTTCCAGAAGTAAAATCAACTCTATGTAAACATTTACTTCTCATCAGCTTTTCCTTACGTATAACTGCCATTACATGCTCTCAAATCAAAGGGTATTACAATACATATTATATGAAATTTACGTTACTCTGATGACATTAACTATTTTCCTGGGGAAAGGTAATAGATCACTTTAAAACGTTTTCTTTGAATAGCTGTATAGAGACTTTTTAAATCATAGGAGCTGCCATAGCAGGTCTCTTTCTAATGTATATAGTAATGTTATGTGTGCAAATATATCATCTGGAATGCACAATATCGTAAGTGCGAAACTAAACATGGTTCATAACTCAATAAAACAAAAGTGAGGCTGTGCCAAAACAACTTTGCTCTTCACATTTCCCATTGCAGCAACATTTAAAGAAGGATTATTTCTGAAAATGTGCATGAGTCAGAAGTGGGGAATGAGTAATTCTGTGCTTTGGACTTTATTAATGTTTTACTGCTGAAGAGACATCATCCAGTTTTTTCAGTAAAGCGCTGAGTGACTGCTTCATCCTCAGATTCCTCTGGATTCTTTGAAAAAACCTGAAGATAATTTGAACAACTAAGTTACTGTTATCCTCTGAATTTAGCACTGAGTTTTCTTGATATGTTCTAATTAAGTGAACAATTATTTGATCTAATTTTTTTCTGGGCAGAGAAATGACTACTAGGGGCCGAGAGTTACAATAACCTTAGAATACAATAGGTCAACAATATTCTTTAGCAAGTAGGAAACAAGGTTAGGCTGACTCATTCAAAGTCAGAATATGCATAAAAATATATTAGTTTGTTGACATTTCAACTTTTTTGGTGGATTTTAAAAAATCCATCATCATGAAAAGGTCAAGGAAAACTATTCATGAGGCCCATGATAGGAACGAATTTTGTGTCTTATAATTTGTACATGCTAATGGGTTTTAAAAGTCTCTAAATCCATTCCTCTGTATATTATTTATCCTCATCCTCATATTTCCCCCATAAAATATAGCATTTTTGGCTCTTCTTATGAATGAGTCAAGGAATTTTTTCAAAGACCCACTTTGAGATTCCATATTTTAAGCCAGTAGGGCCATGCTATTTTAATTCCTAGTTAACCACTTATTACTGGGCATCAACTGTGGTTCCAGCATTGGAATTGGAAAAGAAAACAAATCATCTATTTTTTTCCCTTTTCACTCTTACAGCTTACAAATGGACTTCATTTTCCCATTTGACACAGCCAGGCTTTAGTACAGTGATCCTGGCTTGCAAACAGCAATGGCAAGAATGAACACAATCTTTTTAGGGAAACCTTACTTTTAAGGTGCTGAAACAGAACAAGGGTTTTCGTGTTAGAGTTAAGAGGCATATCCTAAATTGCATAGTGGGGACTAGATTTTAATCTATAACTTCATCATGCCATTTTGTTATTGGGAGGAGCTAAATAACACAAAGACCTATCCCTTTAGAGTTATGTTAAAAACAAAATGTTTTCCCTACAAATACATAGCCTGTGAAAGCTGAAGCGGGACAGGGCTGTCGTAGAACGGAAGGACCTATTCCTTCTGCTGTTGAGAGCACTATCAGCAGATGGCCCTCAGCCCTATTTAGAGTTGATCTTGGTTGGAAAGAGTCACCTCCCCCAGGTCAGGCTATCTTTCCAGGGCAAACCATATCTAATAATTGGCCAACGGAGGGGTATAAAACCTGGCACCATTGCCTGCTCCAACTTGGGACAACTCTGAAGGGCCATCCAGCTCCTGAACTCCCCAAGGAGAGCCCAACCTCTCCTTCTGCCCAATCCTGCTGGTTTTTCTTCCTTTTTACAGTTCTTTATCCAAGAACACTCCTAATAAACCTCCTACACATTAATCTCCATCTCAGAGTCAGTTTCCTGGGGAATCATTCTCAGAGAATGACTGTGTGAATGAGAATTCGTTCAATTTTTGACAGAATTTCGTAAAACACAAAATGAGGGATCTTTGGCTATCAACAGCTTTGATACATATTTCTTCATTCAACTTCTTCACAGTGGACATTTCCATTTTATTCGAGTTTGATGTGAATAAAACCCTTTTCATGATGTGGTACTGACAACCCCCCCACCTCCCCACCTCCAGTGTTCTTATGTTTTTCAAAATGCTGAATACTGTTTGATGTAAGATTCAAGGCTAAACTTTCAGAGTATGTGATGATTTGGGGCTTGATTTACTGCTCTTTGGCCTTGGTTTGTTTCCGTTTGATTTTGGAGGATCATTAATCTTCCAGGGAAAGCCTCCAGGGGTGGATGGTGCCCTGGCCATTCATTGATGTAAGCAGAATTATTCAGATGCTCATGTGTCTTCCCCTCTTCTGACAATCTTTATCCTGTCTCCAAATGTGGCAATATTTAGAAGGAGAAAAATAACACTAGAGGGCAAAGGCATAATTGTTTGAGGTTTACCACAAGGATGTAACTGGGGCTACCGCTGGTTTGTTAGTGAGATGACAAAGGGCACTGAGCTCTGGCTCACTGGCAGCTGTTGATCCAAGGCTGGAGAGAGTCACTTCACAGTGCACTGGAATTGCTTATCATCCAGGGAATCCCTTACAGCCCATGGACCCACCAGTCTGCTGATATGCCGGCTCTAGAAACTTATAGGTGCCTCTGCCCTCTCCAGGTTTCTCCCCTGTGGATGCTCTTACACCTCGGCATGACCTCAGATCTGGAGTCACACTGGGAATCTGAACCAGATTAGTGGGACCCTATACACTAAGTTGTGGGGAACAGCATAGCACGATGGTGAAGTGGTCATGCACTAAAGCCTTGCTCCAGTCTTGGCTCTGCTCCTAATTGTGTGATCTTAGACAAGTTATGTAACCTCTCTGTGCCTCAATTTTCTCGTCTGCAAAATGAAGATGATAACAGTGTCTAATTTACAAGGTTGTTGTCAGGATTATGTAAGTTAATATATGTCTAGTACTTAGAAAAGCACGTAGTACATATTCAGCACTGAATGTGCTTTTTGAAATATAAGTAAAAATCTGTATAAGTGATAAAATAATGCAGCAAGAGGAACATTTGATGTGGAAATAGAATCATAGAACTAGCTCTATCAACAAGCCCAGAAGTCTCCACTGATAAATTCTGAACAGAAAATACAGACATAAAGTAGAATGTGGACCCCAGTAGTCTGAAGCTCCTCTAGTAATTGCATTTGTAACAAAATATAAATCAGAAAAATAATTCTAGAGGAATGGTGGATGCATGGAGTGTTCTAATGTTGGCAAAATGGCCAAATTTATGTAGTATTAAAGTTGGACTTTAAGAGCTAAGAAATATAATGACATCCAGAGAAAATACAGTTTTTCATAGCCACCAGAAACACAAATATAGAATGATTAATTTTGGTGTATCTCAAACTTGCTTAAATCAACATATCTTCTACTCTTGTTAATGGTGTGATTAAATATCATGATGCAAACCACTTACCCATGAAGTAAACGAATCACAGCGGTAACAATGAGCTGGACAGTCATAAGAATTTGTTTAGTATACATACACCCATTATGTTTTCAGACAAAGGGAGGTAAATGAAGCACAAATTTTTCTTCTTAGCAAGGCATCATTTAAGCATAAACTAGAATATCCAAGATGTTCAGGCTTAGAAAACATAAGTATGGCGAGAAGTGTCAGATAATAATCATTTCCAAAAAACTAGTCTCAAGAAAAATGGACTTCTTGTTTTTATCTTCCCTTGCTTAGTGAAAGAGCTGCAGTTTAAATTATTTTAAAAATAGCAGGTGTGATGAATACTCCTCCCGAATGTGTTAATCTTTGAAGAGATGCAGGTGCTGGCTACTGGTAGAATTAAAAATATGCTCAGAATAGTTTTGACATCCGTATTTATAAAACAAATGATGGAAGGGAGTTGGGTTTCTGATAAAAGCAGCTCTTTTGTGTTATAAGTTGCACATATATTAAATATTTGTTTACAGTCTTTGTTTTTCATGCATTCAAGTTTAAGTAAAACCAATACAAAAAAAAATAGATGAATGAACATATGACTTTAAGGTTAAAGTTAGTATTGAAATGTAAATAAAATGTGGACAGTGTTCTAAAAGGAATAACAACAAGCTTGGAGGCCCCTTATGGCCTTTGAAACCTTCAAATGCCCTAGACACTAATGGTGGGAACTCACCCATCATCATATTAACTATATTAACCACACTCCCAGTCAGTGATTATAACTTCACTTCTATTGAAAAGTAAGTGGGTTTCTAACAAATCTGCAATAAAAATTTTCATTGATTTTGTTTTTCCCTTTTTATATTTTTGAACCAATATTTTATTTATTTATTTATTTATTTATTTATTTATTTAAGGTCTGAAACATTTTCTATAGTCTTTGCGGAACCCCCAGGGTTTGGACATTGCATCTGTGGTGTCTAAGGAATAAAACAGCCCAGTTATTAAGGTTTCTGGATCATAGTTTCCCCATCTGTGAAGGGAGTGTTTCTCAAACTGAAATATAAAGCAGCTGTTAGTGTGTAGACTCTCCATCGTGGGCTCTTGATGAGGGATTAGTGAAGGTGGGAATGAGTTGAGCTGGAATTATGGCTTCTGAGGAAGTGTAAGGTAGAGAATTTGACTTTGGTGAAGTCAGTGTCTCTAGGACTCCAGTTAGCCAATGTTTTCCTGAAAAAATTTCTAGGAGGTCAACTCACACCCCTTGATGAGTCTCCTTAGGTGCGACCCTAAAATTCTCTGTGGCTGCACTATCTGATATGCTAGCCACTAGCCACATGTGGCTAGTTAAATTTAATTAAAATTAAATAAAATAAATTCAGCTCCTCAGTTACAGTAGCTAGGCAGATTTCACAGGGTGATAAGCCACACCAACCAGTGTCTACAATATTAAAGAATGCAGATACAGATCATTTCCAACACTGCAGAAAGTTCTGTTGGACAACACTGTTCTACAGTCTTGGTGTCTGGTTTTCTTTCAGAGGAAACCACTTGCTCTTTTAATAGCTAAATAATTTTTTTTAAAAGCAACTTCATTGAGGTATAATTTATACAACCTAAAATTCACCCATTCTATGTGCATGAGTCAATTTTTAGCAAATTTACTAGGAATCTTCTTCTGAACCACAGAACACAGAAAATGATTGTGGTGACTGTTTTCTCAATTCTCCCAACATTGAGAAAAAAAAAATGTGATAGCTAACACAATCCTAGATCTCAAGGAAATAAGTTAATATTAATACATTACATACTAGGAATGGATGTCTTAGTGAATTCGGACTTAATTTCTCCTGGACTCCTAGGTGAGAAAGACAAAACACAATTTGGCAGCATTTAAAATTACATCAAATAGAGATGAGAGTAAGTACAGCTGAATTTTCCTAAGTGAAACCTGTGGTGCAATTGCACTGTATAACCAAAATTTGGTAACTGTTGTGATCATGTTGCAATATAGCATAGCATTTCCTTTTCTTTCTTCATAAACAGAAGCATCTTTATAAAAAATGAGACTTTAAATCCATTCAAACATGGTTAATGTAAAACTACTTTGAAACATTTAATTTATGTAACAGTATTTGGTGTAATAGTACATTACTGTTAGTATGTACATACTGTAATAGTACAGGATACTATCACTTAATATATAGTATGTAACAGTATCCCACACTATACCATTATAGCAATATCAGTATTGCATTCTTTAAAATTCAGGTGTTTTCTTTGTCATCTTTTCTAATTTTAGGCTTTCCAAATGCCTGATTTCTGCTTATTTATTATATATTCCTTCATTTTTTCATCTGGGTTTTACATATTGTTTTTAGTCAATCTATTCTGAATTGATTTCGTTAACTTTTTTCATAGTTTTAATGAAAACTCTGTATTTTCTACTGGTATGTCATTAGTATAAAGAAATACCATTGAGGTTGGGTGTGGTGGCTCCCACTTGCAATCCAGCAATTTGGGAGGCCAAGGCAAGTGGATCACTTGAGACCAGGAGTTCAAGACTAGCCTGGGCAGCATAGCAAGACTCTATCTCTACAAAAATGTGTTTTTTTTTTAAATTAGCCAGTCATGGTGGTATACACCTGTACTCCCAGCTACTTGGGAGGCTGAGGTGGGAGGATCGCTTGAGCCCAGGTGTTTGAAGCAGCAGTGAGCTATGATCACACCGCTGCACTCCAGCCTGGGCAACAGAGTGAGATCCTGTCACTAAAAATTAAAAAAAAAAAATGGCATTGAATTTTGTGACTCTGTTAAACCGTCTGATTTTTTTCTGAATTCCTTAATACTTTTGTGGCTTGTTGTTTATTTCTAGTTTTTAGATATAGCTGCATTAACTTGCTAAAACATAATTTATAATAAAATTTTATTCATTGTATTTACATATCATTGTTTCCTTTTTAAGTACATTATGCTAGTATTTATAGTTGACTTTTACTTTTAACGCATTTATGCTCTATTAAGGCAGTAATCCTTATTTATTTTGCTGTATTTATTTTGCTTATTTTTTGTGATTAATTTTATTAAATATTTTACTCTAATATACTTGGAGTAAATCCTGCTTTTTCCACACTGGACAATTTTTTAACCTATTACATTTCATTTGCTGAAATCTTGCTTAAGGTTTTGCACCTTTGTTTCATTAATGAGATTGCCTAGCCCTGACAAGCTTGAGGCTCAACAAATTTATTTTAGAAATATTGTTCCCTAAGGAAATATAACACCTTAAAAATGTTTTTGGAGAGCAATTTAAGCAGCATAAAACACTATTTATTCTTTAAAAGCTTAGAAAAATTCTCCAGTTACTGCATCAGGGTCATAATATCTAACCTTTCCTATCTATGTATCAGGAATTGATCATGTTTTTTAATTGCATATGTTTTCATTACATGTTTGTGAGAAATCATATGAACATGATTGCTCAACTAGCTATACACTTACAGCTAAGAACAATGCTCTTTAACACTTAATAAAATCTACGCTGTTTTAATTGTCTTTTCCCTGATTTCACGAACTTGTAATTTCTTTTTCATTGGGTCAATAGTTTATCAATTTTGTCCATTTTGTCAACATGCAAACTCTTGTTTTGTTGGCTTATTCCTACTGTTCCTCCTTTATATTTAAAATGTCTGTTGTATTTTTATATTCCTACTCTGTTTTGATTCATTACATTATTCCATTTTAGAATTATTTAATACAGAATTAATTAATGATGTTTTTATTCTTTCTTATTAATGTATATCTAAGAGATAAATTTCCTTTTTAGTACATTTCTGCTAGCATCTCAGGCTATTTAAATTTGTTGTTACTATAGCTTTACATAAATTAATGTGAAATATTTAATTTTTATTTCCGTGTAGATTTGTTTCTGTGGAATTCCATTTTTCCTATTTAAGTATAATTATCCTGTTATGTTGTCATATGAGAATATGGTTTCATAGGTTTCATGCTATTGTTTTTTGCATTAGCTCTAGTGCATTTTTTCTCTCCCAGTATATGATTAATTTGTATAAGTAGAAAGAAGCTTTACAATCCCTTGCCCTATGATTCCATAGTTTCCATAAGTCTATTTTTCTACTTTATTCCTAATATTTGTCTGCTATAGTTTCTCTCTTATTTGAGCACAGATTCTGCCATTAAAGCTTTAGTACTGAGAGCTGTAATTATAATTCTATGAGTTTCTTTTTATACTTGGCCAGCTTCTCCTAGACATGCCTTGAACAAGGACTGGCTTCAAGGGTGACCCTTGTGGTCACACAGGGTCCTGCTCTCAGAACTCGGTTTAATGCTCTATTGTTACCTTCTTGAAATTCTTAATAATTTCTGAACAAGAGGCCCTGAATTTTCATTTTTCAAAGGGCTCCTGCAAACTACGTAGCTGGTATGTTCTGTGACTATGCTGAACTCATTTTTACCACAGGCTGATTGGGGAGGATTTGTTGGGTTTTCTAGATAAGTCATTGTATCATCTAAAACGCAATCCTCTTCTAGCCAGGCAGCTTTGAGAAAGTTCCCTGGTGAGCTCTTCACATTTCCTCATCCCCAGGGTGAAATCGCTGCTAAAAGTTCTCTTCTTGTGTCTCCTTCGCTTCATGTCAAGTGTTCCTTTGTTACAGTAGTCCCCCCTTATCTGAAGTTTTGCTTTCCTCAGTTTCAGTTATCCATGGTCAACTGCCATCCAAAAATATCAAACTGAAAATTTCAGAAAGAAACAATTCATAGGTTTTAAATTGCACAACATTCTGAATAGCTTGATTAAATCTCTCAACATCCCCCTCCATCCATCCCACCGGAGACATGAATCATCCCTTTGTCAAGCATATTCACACTGTATATGCTACCTTCCCATTAGTCACTTAGTAGCCTTCTCAGTTATAAGATAGAAAAAAAAATGTGTTATATATAGGTTTCAGTACTATCTGCAGCTAAGGCATCCACTGGGGACTTAGAACATATCCCCTGAAAATAAGGGAGTACTACTGTTCTTCCAGGGGAGCCTGAGGTCAGGTGTTAAGCCGATGAGACTCACCTCAGGCTCCACTAAGGCTTTTGCCTGGAGCAGCAGCAGGAACAAAAGTCAGCTCTGCCCCAACCTCTCTCCCACAGCCAAGAATCCTCATCCCCCTCAGCCTCGTAACACAGAGGACTGGGTTTGCTCCTGTGCACTGCATTTAAGGCTTACGACCTTTTCTCCCATACTCCTCTCTGCCTTAGCTTGTCTTCACTGTGGTTAGATCTTGGGCAAGTCACTTCACCTTTCTGTGCCTCCTTAGCCTGCCTATCTGTAAAATGGAGAAAATAAAATTAGCTGTTTATCAGAGTTTCTGTCAGGGCTAAGTGAGGTAAAGCATGAGAAGCTCTTGAAATCGTGCCTGGTGCATATTGAATGTTCACTGATTCTCCACTGTGGTACATGGTCAACCCTCAAGGCTTCCCCAAGATGGTGGTACTACTTGAACACTCTGATGTGTTTTTTTGTCTTTTTGTACAGTGACCTCAGGAAGGGAAGCAGAAAGCAAGGGATTCATGGAGTGGAATTCTCCAAGCCCAGGTGCCCCTAGCAAAGGAATAGCTAACCAGGATGACTGAACTGGGTCCCAATCTGCTGAAGATAATAGAGATGTAGAGGTGTTCACATAGCTACCATTCCTTTTGGGCTGCACTTTCCAGGAGGGTGTCCTGGCATTTTTTTCTCCTCAGTATTCCACAGTGGTAAAGTTAATGGACTTCGGAGCCATACTTGGCCCTGAGCAAGTGATATAACTTTAATTGTGCCTCAGTGCCTCATCTGTACAATGGGAATAAATATGTTCAACCTGCTCCTCTTTCTCTTCTCAGCACGGCATTCCTCCTTCCCTCTCGCTCACTGAGGGAGACAATCTGGCTCAGAAGAAGATGAGCGTTCTTTGTTATCACTGATAGACCCGATATCTGTTGCTTCACTTTTCTATCTTCAAACTGACCTTCTCTTTTTTAGTATAGCTGCTGCTGAAGGCTTAAATTATACTCACAGGAATCCCACCTCCAAATCCTGGAAAGAGAATCTTGATGAAATAAGTCTGTGAAACCTAAATCTCAAAGCAGGCCCACCCCAGAGTCCCTGTGTACTCCCTCTGAAGGGCCTGCGTTCAGGGATGTGAAGCTACATCTCTGATACTCTGCTTAGCTCATGATGCCCGCGTGTCCCATCCTGAGGGCTGGAATTACTGTAAATTGACTCACACAGGGAAACAAAATAAGTTTTTGTTATTTCGTCTCTGCTCCCTATTCCACACATGCCAGAAACAAGTAGGGCTCCCAAGCCAGCCACACAAGGAAAGCCCTAATTCTCCTGACACTTTCTTTAATTTTGATACTTATGAATAATCTTATTCCCAACCCATGAGACCTATTACTTGCCCACCTTTCTGGATTCAGAAATGGTTTTCCCCATTACAGTCTCTGGTTGCTGTGCTACCCTGGCTCTTTGTTGATGAGATTATGATTTAGGTTTTGTATTCTCGATGTTTTACGTTTCTTTCTCTTCAGAATTATCAGCTTGTATTTAAAAGTAAGACGTTTTTATAACATGCTGTGTGCTGAGGGGTGAGTGGGTATATAAACAATCCCCAAGTCAACATAATACATAGGAATCAGTTGCCAATAGCACTGCAAAGAGAATGTAGTTTGTATGTTCCAACAAATATCCATATTCTGTTATTGAACAGACATTTTATTATATTCAAAATGGAAATAAGGGGGTCACTGGCTGGGGTTCTGGAAAGTGGGTGCATGGACATTTTTATCATGAACTATTTATTGCACCCCAAACTCTTCTTTAATGGGACCAGGGAGAAGGGAATTACATTAAATATAGATGAGGCCGATACTTCCTCTGTATGCCAGAGATATCTTGTGGGTCTAATTGACCTTTGGGGAAATTATTTGTGAGCTCCAATTGCTCTCTTTCCAATCAGCATTCATATTGTCCGTTAAGGTTTGCAAATGTTGGTCTGCATCCACCCTGGCAGGCAGATCAGGAGGCAGGTCAGGAAACAGGTCACCATTTTTATCCCTGCGTGACCAAGAAGGAAAATGAAATGGCTAAGGTTTAAAGGATTTGTCTTATGCCAAGCAATGACCAACTGGCAAGGGTTCTGATCCATACTCTCAGCTAGAGTATCTTGGGTCTGGGGGCTAAGTTACACAGCCAGGCTGCTTCCTAATACCCAAAATTAGACAGAAGGTTTGAATTTCCCTACAAGTAAGAATGAGAACAGTAGACTGCTGGAATGAAATGTTTACTCACCACTGCAGAGAAGAGAGCTTATGAAAGACTTAAGATTTAAGCTGAGTGTTTAAAAGGAAAAGAGAGACAGAACAGAGATGGTTGAACTCATTTTTATGGCTGAAATGTCACTGTAGATTAACAAGGTCTTCTTAGAGGAACAGATGAATAAAATAACATAGAGATGGTTCAATGTACAAAGTATTTGTGGAAGCAATAATGCTGAGTTTGACACTGGAGAATATGACGATTAAAAAAAAAAAACCAAACACTATTTTGAATACAACATAGAGTTAAAACCCCAAGGAATCCATCATCAGAAATAGAGATTGAGGGAGATTTAAAATTTCTCCATGTACTCTAATAGCATTAATATTGTACTCTACCAGACACTTTAATTTCCCCTAACTGTTACAAACACAGCAAGTGTACAGCATCAAAGAAGTTACCATGTTAGGAAGAGGGTCATTTTATAATTCTTCAAGTGGAAAATCTACCCCAAGCAGAGAACATCCTGAGATCTTTGGCTCAATGATAAAAATAAACTAGTGAACCTAATTTAAAAGGCAGAAAAATGGACCAGCTAGATGAAACATGTGAACTCAAACTGCGGGAATATATGATTACAAAGGTATTCCATTTCAAAACAGTAAATAGGCAATTGAACCCCCCCGTGAGAAATACGTGTTTGGAAGAGGGCTGAAACATTTCATTACACCACACCAAATAGTAATTCCATGAAAATGAAGACAAAGAAAACTGAGAAAAAAATTCTAACATCTAATTTGACTTCAAAAAAGTTTTTAAAAATCTGTGATTAAATACCCAGAATCAGCAGGTCAAAGGGAGTCATTCATTATGACCTTTGCCTTCAGGCTGGAACTGCTCATACCATCCCTGTAGATAACTGTCTACCTTCTTAAGGTTCTTGTGAAAAGGAAATTCCAAGGCCTTGCTGGTAATGCATATCAGTGCCTAATGTCAGAGCAGGGACAATTTCCTTTCTGTGGCACCCAAAATCCCTGTGGCTACAGCTTATCCACTTCCTCTAGTTCTTGTCCTTGTCCCAGTTGAGTTCAAGATCCTCTATTTACATGGTCATATGATTTTAAAAGAACATTTAAGGCCTCTTCTTCATCGTGTCTTAACTAAAGTTTAATAGTGCAAGAAGCATTTGCATAGGGACTAGTGAGTAGAAGAGGAACTTGGATGTGTCTTCGCTTGGGCTGCCCATCTTCCCTGGAATGACCTTCTGACCCCTGTCCAGCAAGCCAGCTCCATCACTTCCTCCAAGGCCTAGGTTCTCTCAAGTCTCATTGCCCTCCCAACCCTTCTCTTAGGTGTTTCTCTGTCTCAGGGCAGACATCGAGCCAGATTATAAAACCACAATGTGGCTCACAACCTCTCCTCACTTGCCCAAGCCGCCCTCTAAGGTTTTTTGGAGTAGGGGATGGGAGGGAGCCCCCCCCGAAACTTGTCCTGCCACCTTCTGGGTAACAAGATTAATCTGTCTTTTCTCTCTCATGTGAATGCCATATGTCTCTGCCAAAAAGAACAGGGTGACATTTAGCTCATTTTTTGCTAATGAGCGTAAGTGGGAGCTGTCTAGGGAAGCTTCCTTTTTCCAGGTAATTTGTACATTTTAACAGCAACATTCTGGAGATTGTGTCCTCTCTTGTGTTGTGTATTGTTGATGGTTAGAATTTCCAACTAATTAAGAAAGGAGTCAGGCAGTGTGCCAAGCTTAAGGGGTGATGTTTTTGGTCTGGTAAGGTTTTGTTAATCTTACGTCTCAGAGATAGGTCACAATTTTTATTAACCATAGCAGGGCTGGGACTGCTCCCTTTATTATTTTTAACTACTTTAAAAATTGGAACTGTAATGCATACATAATGAAAAATAAGCCTCCATTTTCCTACCCCAAACTCCCAGTCACCTTCCCCCCACAGCATCAAATACAGTCCTTTTCACACAATACATATATAATTTATAAATGCTAGCAACATGATGAACTTATTTGTATTAGTTACTAAGGAAAAATAGGAAGAAAAGTTGGAAGGCACAGAATAAAACATATTCAGTCGAACCAAGGAAAGAGGCCTTATGAAATAATGAAATAAGAAAGGGTTTTATAAGCATATGAAGGGCAAAGATGGATTTTAAAACAGACTTATTAATTAAAATCAACAAATGTATGGAAGATATATGATATGTCAGGTCCTGGGCTGGTGCAGACAGTTTGAGGATTAATCCTATGTAGTGTCAAACTCTGATGAGCTCATTTAGTATGGAGAAAAGATTTGTAAGTTATGCTCTGTTGATCTCAAGCTCATGTGGGGAAAAAGACTCATACATAAATAATTGCAATATATTATAATGAGGGCCATTGTCGAGGTATGTACTAAGTGCTTTAAGAGCCTAGAGGAGCAATTAATTTTCCGGAGTCAGAAACATCTTATCAAAGGAGGAAGCATTTGTGTTTTCTTGAAGAATGCCTCTAAGTTCTTCCAATGCAGAGAGGGAAACAGGAATTCTAAACCTAGCAAACACCATAAGCAAACACACTGAGGGTGAGACTGCATGGCCTTTTCAGGGAAGTAGATTGACATGACTAGCATTTATGGAACATATCTAGGTAGGAGACAATGCTAGAAAGGAAGATTGGGCCAGGTTATGATGGAACTTGTGCATCTCCCAAAGGGAATCAAATTTGTTTTAAAGTGAACTGTTGGAGACTTTGGGGTTGAGTAGTGATCCTCCAGGACAATGCTTTGATGGTTTGAGAAATAGATTGAAGTTGGGAGGGAGTAGAGGCAGGCAGGGTTGGGAGGCTATTGCAGAAGTCCAATAGACAATAGTGCAATGAGACAGTAAAGCAGGCCATTCTGGTGGGAATGGGTTTGAAAGGTACTTTTCAGTTGATTTACAATGCCTCGACAGTTAACTGGAACAGGAGGCCCTGGGAGTGGAAGTTGATGCTGAGTTCTTCATTCAGTTAGTCTACAGCATGGATAGCAAAACAAAACAGATGTATAAAGGACAGATTCAAGGAATTAAAATGAAGGTATGTTGAGTTTAAGATTCCTGGGGCACAGTCAGGCCAAGAATCTCATCAGGGAAAGAGAGAGTTTCAACAATAAAAGGAGAGTTAGCAATACTAAATGTTCCACAAACGCCAAGACAGGTAAAGACTAAAAAGTAGCCATTGAGTTTGTTGATACAGGATTTTAACCATGATCTTTGGGAGGACAGTTTCCATAGAAGGGGATGGAAGCCAGTTACAATAGGCTGGTAACAAAAAGAACAATGAACATCAGAGAGAAAAGAATTTTTTTTTTTTTTTTTTACACAGAAATTTCAGTGTGAGGAGCAAGGAGAGTGAGAAGGTGTAGCTTGAGAAGGAAAGAGAGTTGAGGAAAAATTTTTAGGAAGGGATGTCTAGAATGTATTTATATGTAGAAGAAAGCAAAATGCATAGAGAATGGACCAAGAGATGTGACAAAGCAAGGTAGAAGAACTGGAAGAACTGCCTCAGTGCTTCAAGGTTTACAAAGGAAAGAGAAGCTCCCTGAGGGGTTGGTCTACTCCGATTACCGCTTGCCTCTTTAACTCAGGGACTTACTTTCCCCTGGAATCTCACTCATGGCTGCCACAGCCATCACACTGGCTGTGGGGGTGAGAGAAGGAGTAGCTCTGTCTTTCAGAGGCCATCACTTTATCCATGATGGTACAGCTGAGAGGAGTTATTAATACTAACCCCTCTTTATTAACAACTTTGGGGAATTAGACCATAAAAAGCACATTTAAACACAAAGTCCCTATCCTCGGAGCCCACAGGCTCAGCCTCATGGGGTTTCTGATGAAGGCAACTTCTTCCCCTTCTGGCTCCTGGAGGCCCTAGTCTTCTCCTCACTCCCTTGGAGCACCCATGAAGACTCAAGGCACCAGACCCAAGAGAAAGTGGTCTAAGGCTGTCTTCCAAATCCCTGACTCCTTCCTGCCCTTGTATGATTGAAGTTGGGATTGGCCACTCACTCAGGGAAGACCCCATTCCAGCTTCTGCCAACTAGAGGGTAACAAAACACCTTGGTATCAAAAGATCAATCACATCACAGCAGAAGAGTCCAATAAGCATAGAAAATATACATAGATGGTTTCTGATTCAGGGTTACCCTTAGAAAGCAGGGGTGGTGGGTGAAGTAACAATAAGTGGAATGGAAAAAAAGTTAAAGCAGTTTATTTTTTGGTGCATTTTGTGAAGTAGAATCCTAGGACAACTGCTGATATTGAGAACTAGTGGGTTAGTTGGGATTTGAAGAGTAACAGTTTGGAGAATAAAGATTTATGGCAATTAGCAAACGGTAAAATATTGCTCAATATACCAGAGGCTCTGCTGAAGACGGAAATCATACACATGTAACACAGCCTAGCTATATGATTTTTTTTCCACAGCAGAGTGGCACCTGGGGGCATGCACGGAGAAAGCCATAGTTAGATTTATGAAAAGCTATATATTGTCAAGGTGGGCACAGCAGAAGGACAAGAATGTGAGGGATCTAGGATGCTAGTGAGAATGTGGTTTAATTGAAGGTCTTGGTCATGAGGCCCAGGCTAGGTCGGGGGAAAAAGGATAAAAAGGGTGCTGATAGACTAAGGGATTGGGAAGGGGTGGAGAAAGTACAGGTCTTGCTAAGACTGGCAGGTGGGTTTGGGGGAAGTAAGAGAATGGGACTGATGAAAGGGCAGAGTTTCTGGCTAGACAATGAGTCTCTGAGTTTCAGATTTCAGAGATGAAATATTCCTGGGGTTGGGATTTGGGAGTGGGTAGATGAAGGGAAATAGGTTGGTAGCAACCCATCACATATTGGGATGTGTAAAATGATGTGGTCATCAGATATTCTGACTTCTTAAAACTCATGAAAATAAACCTGTCAATAAAAAACAGATTGACAAGACCCAAAGAAATGCAGACTTTGGAAGGCATTTGCTAAACTTTGCTTATCATGCGGTTTGGAGGTGGGATAGGAAAAAAATAGGTCTCTCTGTAGACTTCATAAAAAACAATACGTGAAGACCTCAATTTGTGGATGTCCTTCCCTTAAGAGAATGAACTAACTAACTAAATAACAAGTTTTATGTTCCAGATTTTTGGCTTCTCTAGAAAAACAAGATGGTCTTGGCAGCACTGAGCCAAGATTCCCTCAAGGTAGCCAAAAGATTTCTCACCAGAGTACCTGAGTCTAACATTCTGTGTTGCCATACTACACCTGGCTGGGTGTCAGTTGCTATTTATCAGTATGCTCACACATCTTTTTTAGAGTTAAGAGGAAAGTGAAATATTTCTTGTATCAAGGCCCTATCAAAATTAGAAAGCCAGAAGTGAATCAGGAAGAGTATTACTCTGATATGCAAAGTATATCGTTGTTGGAAAAACAAGAATTATGATGCTATTATGAAACAAATCCCTCCAACTTCACTCATTACATTACCTACCTGGCCCCCATACACATCTGAGTTTGCAATGACTCCTGTAATAAAATGGTGGTAGACATACAATCATATACATGAGACAGCATTTATAAAACCAGTGTAATAAGTAACAGTTATTACACTAATTGAGGGACTCATATTAGTCTATCATATTGTATCCTTTTGCTGATAGAATGATCTTATCAAATTCCCATTGATTAATAGATTCCCTCAAAGTGCTACCAATAGCCACTGAAAAAACTTAATGAACTCGCAAAGTAGCTCCTCAGTGGCTGAAAAGCATAGCTGTAATTCCCTGAGTGCCTAACTTCTTGGCAGCCATATACACTTGTGGAAGATGGATCCAAGGAAAATGGGTGAAGGATCTTTTGTGTCAGAAGAGAGGAAAATATGGAAATGAAAGCTTTTGGCAGGTCTAACTTGCCACATTACTGCTCAGGAAAAAAGGCAATCAATCGCTACATATTTCTTGTTGTTGAGGATCATGATAAAATAAATATAATTTAAGCTGTAGGAGCATAATAGATTAAAATCAACCCCTTGGATTGACTCAGGAAGCAAATGAGTTGCCAGTGTGGACTAGTACATTGATATAATCTACTATTTCCTTAAAGCATTTTGGTCATCTACTTTCTGCTCTAGTTAGCATTTATGTTAAGCATATGAACAGCAGTTGACTATGAAGGCTCAGAGGTTGAACTGCATCTTTGGAGAAATAGAGGAAATAACATGTGATTGAGGTTTGGGAAATGAAAATTGTCATAATACATTAACGAAGAAAATAATCTGAAGGCCAAGTACTCACTGAATCAGAAAAAAAGTTGGAGAGTCCTAATATTGGAGCCTGTGAACTGGAAACTAGATATGAATTCATAACCTACGAGGGTATAAATGATGGCAAGAAGTCAGTAAACTGAGTCAGTGTTATTTTTGAGACTGAAGGAAGGTTCTTATGGAACAGGGAGTCTGAATAGTTCAAGTTCTGGGCATTAAATTGATGATGCAAATAGAAGACAGTTTGATGAAGAGTGACAATGATTAAAATCTGAGATGGATTGAAATACGAAGAAAATTTAAAAGAGATAAAGCCTTGTATTGCTGGCATGATAGAATGAGATTTTAAAGGTATCTACTTTAAATATGAGCAGGTTACTCACCAGAATCCAACCGTTTGCATACAGACAAAATAAATTGGCATAAGCATCATGGAGCTATTTAGAATGGGCATTTTATTAATGTCTTGCCTATCTTTTATTGCCCTGCTCTGAAATGTAATCTGAGGGAACCATTAGACAATATTCGCTGAGGAATGACTATGATATTTTGGCTCTTTTTCTAACTCCAACTACTACGAATTTCACAATGCCATGAAAACAGCAAGAATTTTGGCAAAATATTTACAATTTCTTCAATAATATTGCTTGTGGAATATGAGGAATGGACAGCAACCACTTAGTGACTGCAGAGAGACAAGCAGGAATGAGGAAAAACAATTACTTACTACGCTATTTGTGATGAAAAAATCTGAGTTTAGCTTATTATAAAAAGCCTGTTGGGAGCCAAGCATCGCACATGTCAGAGGAACATGCTGCTTCCCTTCACCATGTCTGAGATAGGGTACCTACAGTTGGGCTGTTTGTGGGATGAAGAAGTGCTTCTATAACATCAGCAGGCGTGTGACCAGTGGCTTGTGGGAGACAAGCACTTATGGGAATAAAAGGGAACCTGGCACAGGCCTTGGGCCTCTGGCATCATTAGTTACAGGTCTGCCAAGATGCTTTGGGAAACATTTTAATTTAAATGCCAAGTCTATTTCAACGAAGCTCCCTGGTATGACCTGTTGGGAGTCCAGAGTGAGATGGATAGGTGCTCACTTTGGAGGGCACTGGTGAATCAGCTGGTGCTTCTATAAAAAGCATACTGGGGGTTAAACATCACTAAGTCCCTACTCAGCCCAGGAAAATCACAGTGAGAGCCATGGGATCTATGGCTTTCATAGCATTTTACTAGTGACTCGTAAATGCAGGAAAGATTAGATACTAACACACAAAAGGCAGAGACACCTCTGGGTGTTTATTCAAAATATCAAACTTAGAGAACTTGAAGAATAAAGACCCCAGCATTCTTTTTTCCTCCCCCGAAGCATACTCACAGGCTACTATGACTATAAATTTAATAAAGCAGAGTTAAGAGCCTGATTTGAATTATTTCAATATTTTTCCTCCAAAACTATCACAAGACAGAAAAAATAAACATTTTGAAACACAACGAGAAAAAAGAAAGAAAAGAGTTGAGACTGAATAAAACACTAAGCATTGTCCTTCGATGTAAAAAACTATTTCTGTTAGTGTGTAGGCCCAGGTTGGAAAGAGATGTACAAAAACACGAATTCAGAGGATCGGAAGAATTAAAACGCCCCCAAGAATAACATGAAAGTATTTGATGTTGCTTCAGGGGCAAGGGCGAGTATGTATATGTACGTAAATCCATTTCCTTAGAGGCTCCTTGGCAGTCTGTTACAACACCACGCTAATGAAAGCCAGGTCTTTAAGTTCACCCCGCCTCTGGACTATTAGTTTCTCCTTTGCGCCCTGCGGGGACTGCATTCCTGGAAATGAAAGCACACGAGTTGGGGAAGGGCTGGGGTGCCAGAGAGGGTAGGAAGCTGGAGCCCACGGAGCCTGGGATGGAGAGGTGGGTGGGCCCAGGCCTGGGGCGTGGGGTGGCGGTGGAAGGTCTGGGGTCTCACCCTTCGGAGTTTTGAGTCTTGTCTGGCTCCAGGGAGGGAGATCCAGGGGAGATATTTACGAACGGAAGCCACACGATCAGCTTGGACTTTTAGGCCAGTCACTCCGCCTTAAGTGGGTGCGTGAGAACCAGAAGAGGGACTGGCTGTAGCGCTGCAAGTGAGATCCTGTCCCAAAAGATGAGCCTGACTTAGGCTGGGCCCCGCAGGCCGGCAGGGCCAGCCGGCATCCCTGGTAGGGGAATCGGGAAGGTCTCAATGATAAATCTGTGTGTGGAGACTCAGAGGGCACGAAATAGGCTCTGCTGATGTCCTCTGCCCCTCATAGCCTGCCAGCCACCCCAGCCTTCACCCCTGCCTCAGCATCCTTCCAACTAGTTGAATCAATCAGGAGCCCAAGGGAAAGGAATTGGTCCCAGTGTATGAAATGGGTCTGACCTACTGGGGAAGTCAGAGAGGAGTGTCCCGAACTGGGTGGGAAGGAAACGAGTTCCGTGCGCGGGGCTGGGGCAGGAGTGAGGCGCAGCGGCCGAGATCCTGAGCCCCGGGACCCTTGTTCCGGGCCCCGAGGCCTACTTGGTAGTTGCCCCTCGGGGTTCCGGGTGGGTGACTGACAGTTGCAGCAGCTCTGGGGAGGCGAAGGATAGGCAATGACTTGGGGCTCCCGTCCACTCGGCTTTGAGGTCCCCGCGGCCCGATGACCCGGCCTCGGTGACAGCAGCCGCGACGGCGGCAATCTCGACAGGGAGCTAGGCGGCTCATGGTGGGTCAGGGGGCGACCGAGGAGGGACCACGCGGCCTGTAGGGGGCAGCGCCGAGCTCGGGAGGAGACAGCAGCCGGCGGGTGGGGTGGGTCTGGGCTGCCCCCTCCGGGAGCTGCCCCGGGGCCGCACGGCGATTGTCATACCCGGCCGCCCCTGCCCGCCGTGGGCTTCCTCTCGGCGCCGCGGGCCTTAACGGGGCTCTGAGGGGACGTGACAGAGCTCGGCACGCGGCAGCCTCTGGGGAGTTAGGGTCCGGAGAGACCCACGCGTCGCCCCCCGCCCGCCCGGGGCCGGGAGATCCTCGGGAGCCGCCTCCGCGTGTCCAGAGAGTGTCGGGGCGGCCGCCACTTCCCCTCGCCCTTCGCCGGAGGTGGGCGCCTTTTCCTGCGTGGCGGGTGCTCCGACCCCAGTTGCTCTGAGCCCCGGGGAAGCGCGCCCCGAGCCCCTGACGTGGGCGCCCCGTTACCTCGGGGTGGGTGCCTGGGGCCCCTGAGGTGGGCGCGGGTTGCCCCGGGGTGGGCGCCCGGCCCGCGCGGGTTATTTTTGGCGCCCGCAGAGGCGCGTGTGTTGGGGCGTGTTTTCCTTCCCCAGGTGCCGAGAGCCGGGGCTCCGCCGGCGCCGGAGCTGACTCGTCTCTCTCTTCTTTCCCCTGCAGGAATCTTCCGATAATTCTGCCGCCGCGACTTTAACCGTGCGCAAGGCGAGAGCTCGAAACAAACATCACATCTAAATTAAAAAAAAAAAAAAGCGGAAGAAGCGGCCGAGGCGGCGGCGGGAGGAGAGGAGGAGGGGCCGCGCGCGGCGGCCCGAGGCGGCGGCGGGGACGCGGGGACGCGAGGACGCGGCTTTGTGCAGGCGGGTCGCGGGGCGCCCATGGCGGAGTGCGGCCGGGGGGGCGCCGCCGGCGGGGCCCTGCCCACCTCCCCGGGCCCGGCCCTCGGCGCCAAGGGCGCCCTGAAAGCCGGAGTGGGGGAAGGCGGTGGCGGGGGAGGTCGCCTCGGCCACGGGCGGGCGCGCTATGACAGCGGCGGGGTTTCCAACGGAGACTGCAGCCTCGGCGTGTCCGGGGACGAAGCCCGGGCTAGCCCTACCAGGGGACCCCGCGGCGTTGCGCTCGCCCCGACCCCCAGCGCGGTCGTCTGTACCCTCCCCCGGGAGAGCAAGCCGGGCGGCCTGCCCCGCCGGAGCAGCATCATCAAGGTAGGTGGGAGAAGGGCGCTCATCGCCCACCCTCAGCCGTCCTTGGATTCTATTTTCTCCCTGGGGGAGTGGTGGTGGAAGGAGGAAGCCCACTGCTAACAGGAACCACTGGAGCATGGGTGCTTGGGGTGGTTGAGCGGGGATTGGATGCAAATGGCATGTGGAAAGAATGGAGAGGTGATCCCTAATGTGCAGGGGGAGCTGTGCTCAGACATCCTCAGTTGAACTTGGGGCTGTCACCTCTTCCAGGATTGGTCTGGCATTAGGGCCTTGTACCTGCCGGGGTAGGGCATACTATTATGTGTAGCCTAGTCTGGTTAACAGACTCCCTGTAAGATTTCTATTGTATCTTAAACACAGATAGGGATTATGTGAAATGTGAGAACATTTTCTTAAAAATCCCAGGCGGCGAACAGAGGGTGAACAGAGATTATTTAATAGGGTTCTTCTGATCCGTATACAGTTAGTTGGCTCTTACAAATGTTTACACTTCGAGGGTGCAAAATCTCCTAATATCCGGTCACTCAGTCACAAAGAAAAATAGAGTAGATTTCTGAACATAAATGCAGATTTCCGCTTTCTTAGGCTCAAAAGCTCAGAGATTACAGTTCCACACGATTTAATCTTTTTCCTTGCTGCAGTAGGCAGGCCTCGAGTACTGTGGAAGTTCTTTTGGGCAGTTTGCTTGGTTTTGCTTGCACAGTGTTAGCGGAAGAAAGCCAGCGATTGTTTTGAGCATTTTAAACTCAAGAAGTAATATTAGGAACTCCCGAGTTTGTGTTAGTTTCATTCTAATGTTACATTTTGGTTCGCAATGTAAAAATATTTTTCATGACATGAAGTGCAAAAAAAAATAGTTGATGAGCTAAGAAGAGCAGAGCCTTAGGCAAGACCAGCTCATTCGGCTCGCTCAAGTTTGGAGCAAATGAAAACATTGCTTTCTGAAAATCAAGGAGTTATCAGGACAGGGAGCAGCAAAGCAAATTGACAGGCTGCACCCACCCTTCCTGTGGCTGATAACTGGTGGGAGGGCAGAACGTGCCACAGTAAAGAGAGTTGGCAGTGGTGGTATCTGAAATTTTATTGGACCTACAGAAATCTTCCAAGTACTGTGAAAATGTCTGATGGTGTTATCAACTTATGCAGTAATCTAGTGAAATATACCATCTTGCTACTCTATGTAAGAGGCAATTGTGAAACTGCATTTCCCTTTGTCATCTGTTTGCGCAGTTTATGTCTGGGCAAGGACACAATTTGAAGGGTTTGGAGATGAAGTGTATTAACTACCTGCAGCACACACGTAGAGATAAACTAAGGAAAGTAAAGTGTCTTTTTGCTGCATACATAGCTTTTAGTGACTTACGTTTTCTTTTACTCTGTAGCTTATGTTTCCATGGAAGTTGCTTTCAACTGTGCATGATAATCAATCCTATTGACAGAGTTAGGTGACATTTCTGTTTTTATTTGTCATAAAATATTTGTGGTGATTTTGCATTGTGGTGTTAATAAAATTTGAGGTGAAAATTCCAAAGAAGATACCAGCCTACCTAATTTTAACCCCTTTCTTTTAATTGTTTTGAATACTTGTTTTTGCATTAAAAAATCAAACTTTATTAGTGTCCATAGTGAGATTCATAGTGTAACTTACTGAATTACAAAAACATTTGTTTTAATTTTACATTACTGGGCGATAAGCAAGAAGGATGATTTGTTAGTATTTCTGATATATGGAATTGGGAACTTGTCAATAGATACCATTTCTTAATTGAAGGCTCTAGAAGCACATGGGGGAAATGATTAATGTTCAAAAATCACTGATTTTAGAAATGATATTGATACTTATGTTGAATTCTGAAACTTTTAAGGATATTTTGTCATTTTTCTTCTTTGTAAAGAAAGCATTTGGCTTCTTGTTCACCAGTGTAACCCTAGATATAAAGTGCCAGGAATGTAGTAGCAGCTCAATAAATTGCTTATTGAATGAATGGAGAAAGTACATGTTTTCTCTGAGTTCTGTTAATTTATAAAACAATTGGTTTTGGATTTACCAGTCCCATATTTTGTTCATTGTATTGTACCTCCAAAGAAGGCTTGACATACTCCTTTTTCTTGCCTCTGTTTTCACTTTGCATTTTCTTAAAACTTTCGAAAATTATGGAAGTAGTGTTGAAAGTTGATCAATACTGGGTTATAGGAAAGAGAGGATGCTATATTTAAATAGGTAACTACTTGGTATATTTCCCTTTGAATTGGTGCCTTGAAGCATCAAGATTTTTGGAATGTATTGTGGTATTTTCTAAAGATAACTTCCAGCATCAGGACAATATCCTAATAGAAAACAAAGTCTTTAACATCAAATTTCATAAAGCAACAAATACTGCACAGATAGTTTTGTCATGTGAATGGCAGAAATTATGTTTCACTTTTGTTTAAAAAAAAAAAGAATAAAAAGCTAAAGCAGAAGCCCATGTGAAAAAGCAATAGTGACATCTTTCCTTGGTTTCCTTATTTTTTTTAATATAAGGGATGAATGCAGTCAGGTGGTCTCTGAGTAGAGGCAGGAGTAGATTAGTAAGCAAGGTGATAATTGGGGACTTGAGGGAATAGCAGGGAGTGAATGCTGCCTGGGGAACTGAGGCCGGTATTTATGGGGTTGTATTAGTTGAAATGCTGGGCTTCTGAACTGTGCCTCTCTCCTAGCTTTCATCTTCATTACAGTCTTGACAGCCCTCTTTGTTGGAGATCCTTAAATCAGAGGGAGAATAATGGCCTAAATGTGCTATAAGGTGGGCAAAGAAAGGGGGACTATTGCTAAAGTGCAGGGCATATGCAGAAATACACTGTAGGCTGACCCGAATCTTATTCCTCATTTAAAATAATTTATTTGGTACTCCATCTGTTTTGTAAATGTGGTGTTGAGTAAGAAATTGTTGTAAAACAATATTTTCTGCCAAAATAGATGCACAGATCTATACTAAAAGAACTCTTTGGTTATGTTAACAGTGTTGATTAAAATTCAGAGTGAGCAGCTTTGTAGAACCTTTTACAAATACCTTGAGATGATAAATAAATCATGGAAATCATCACCAGACTTTTCTACTTTTCCTTAGCTTATTGAAAATAACGGTCGACTTTTGAGATTATTTACAAAGGCTCATTACTGGATTTTAGAGAAGAAGCCATTATGTTTGTCATCTTAAGTAATCTAGTAAATGAAAACATCACTTTCATTTTCTCTTTCCATAATTCATTTCATCACTCTATTCAATATAATCTATGCTTTATTTTGAAACAGTTAATTTGGTTAATTGTTCAGATGGCATCCCTTATTTGCAAATAGCTCAATCTTTTAATTCAAGAGCCTGGTCTAAAAATATGAAGTAGCATTTTAGGCCTTAGATTTCTGTTTAAGTTTAGAAAGAAATGAAGTTAAAATGTCTATTGCTGTGGATGATTTAGTCAGAACTAGTTAAATACTTTGGTTGATACTTTAAAAAATGAGGTATGATTTACATACAGTAAAATTCACACTGGTTTGTGTCGAGTTCTGTGAACTTTGACCAATACATTCAGTCATTTAATCACCACCATCATGAAGATATAGGGCACTAACATCACCTCAAAAAACTCCCAGGTCTCTGTGATCTTTCGCTCCCCTCATCCCCAGACAATGGCAATCTTCGGTTCTTTTTTAATCAGTAGGAAATTCGGCCATTACCTTATCTTGGTATTTAGAAGTAATAACGGTAGCCAACACTTATTAAACACTCACTGCATGCAAAACACGTGAAAAGTGCTTACCGTAATTCTCTGACTTGGTCCTGTGCTAACCACAGAGACAGGAGGAAATCAGAGTTCAGAGAGGTTAACCCTGTGCCCCAGGTGCTGGAGCTACTTGTATCCCGCTTGGGTATATGGCTGCACTCCATTGCTTCCCCACATTACAGTGGCAGTTTGAATTTTTTGTGGTTAAGGCAGCATCAGTGGTTTCAGACATTGGATTTGATTGCCCTCTTTAAATGTAGGAGATATTGGAAGAAGGAAAAGAATCTCTGTTTCTGCTGGTGGAAGAAGTTGGCAGATAACATAGCCAGGAGGCTTTTAGTCACCCGTTGTGGCTGCTTGACCAGGGCTTGCAGCTTCACAGGGACCAATGATCTGACCTTGCCCAAGGTGGCAGCCCTTATTTTTCTTAGTATCATTATTGCCATTGTCATAGTGTCATGTGGTGTAGGAGAAACACTTTTACTGTCTTTATACTACTATGTTCACCTATGTCTTGACACTGAGCTCTCCAACATGGACAACAAGCAGCCTTTTCACATCTATTATACACATTTAAATGAAATAAAACTTTTATGTGTGTCTTGGCCCATGGTTTAAATAAACTAGGCTCCTTGCAGGCAGAAGTTGGACTGTATTTACCAGTTCTGCACAGGTAACAAACACTCAGTAACCATTTTTTAATTGGATCTTAAAAATAATATCTGCGTTTGACTTTAGACATTTTTTTTTGAATGGGGGAAACAAAGATACCGCATGCCCAGCAAACCTGTGGGCACATCATAAATAATTAAACAGACAGTAGCTGGATAACAAAGTGAATTTGTCTGGATAGATAGGAAACCTGGATCATTAAGGTCAGAAAAATCTAATGGCCAATCAGCAACTCCCCACTTTACTTTGTGCTAATACATTTTAGACCACACAAGTTAACTGTTGAAAGGCCAAAGCATGGTTGCTTGTTTTAGCCTGCTCAAAGAGCTTTTGTCACAATTCAGTTTAGGTTTTCAAAAGCAGAGTATATTAATTTTCATGCCCTAAAATCTACTTGCTCCCTTTTGCTTTCCTCCTCCTCCATTTTCCAGCCTCCCCCAAATGGTTGTATTTGATTTGCATTGTTTTTCATCAAATCCAAATAGGCAACTGACAGGAAATTGTTTATTTTATTAATTGCTGATATTGGCCACAAGTTATTTTCTTAGAATGTTCTATCCCAGAATCTGTTCACTTCCTTTTATAGTTCTTTGTGCTCTGCAAGGAGCCTAAACTAGAATGTTATTTACTTTATTTTTTTATGCTTAAGTTACCCAGGCTTCAATATTCAACAAAATAGGGCAACATTATTTACAGCCTAAATGCAGATATAAATGAAGTATGAACATTTATAGTTTTTCTTCAGACTTTATACTTATGTGTTCAAGAATAGATGCTTTCTTCCTTCTTAATACTAAGTTTTGGATGCCAGTTATTTACTTATCTACCAGACTTCTGGATTACTTTAACTTCTTTTCTGTTCTATATTGGTGGGATTCAAATACTTTTACCAGTGGACCACAGGATCTGCGACTGTTATGTTTGTAAGCTGCCTGCTGAGCTTTTTTCTACTGATAAGATTGGTAAATTGAGAGGGTTGTGCTTAGCATGAGTGTCGTTTGTGACTCAAACTGAAGTCAGAGCCGCTAGAGCCAGCCACTATTCTTTGTATCAGAGTAATTCCATAGCTTTAGGGTGCCCAAAGTATATAACTCATTGCATTGAGCTTCAGCAACAATTATGTGAATGGTCCAGCCTTCTGGCAGGACACTTGGCACCCACCCATTCCAGAATGGCAAACCAGGGCAGGTTGTTAGGCCCTCTTACCACTAGCACTTGGTCCCATGGCAGGGGTAATTAGGTGAACCATATTTTAGCTAGTAATCTCAGCTGGGCTGCATCCTGTGGTCGAGGGCTGCCCCCAGGCCACATGTTGCGTATCTGGATTATTCAGGAGGCAGAATTGTGGTGGGAACAATAGAAAGTCTGTAGTTAGGGGCTTGGATTAGATCCTGGCTTCCCTGGTTCCTTTCTTTATGGCCTTGGGCAAGATACTGAAGTCTGTATGTCCAGTTACTCCATCTCTAAAACAGGTAGAATAAAACCTCCTCTCATAGCATTGTTGTAAAGATTAAAGGAGATGATTGATGTGTGAGCAGTGTGTGGCACCTAATAAGCATTAGTGTGTTTTTCTGATTTTTAGTTGAGCAGACTCCTTTAGAGAGGTGAGCAGACTAACATGGCCATGCTCGTTTTGAAAGTTTTGTCTTTTGAAATATGCAGAATGTGCCTAGGGAAATTTCTCAGGCATGTTCCATAAATGCTTTCAATAATTGTTTTGGTGTCTTTCTAAATCTGATACCTCAGTACAACTGCACACACATGTAAATAGCCCCAACTATGGGATCAAAGGGTATTGAACATACAATTTCATTGTGCCAAGCACCCACATGTCTTGCTTTGCCCAGGACAATCCAGGTTTACATCTTTTGCTGTGACAAGATTATTAATAGTGCCTCCTTTAACTCTCAAAGGCATCTCAGCTTGGACGATAAATAATATGGTCATCTTACTTGTAATCTTCTTTTCACAAACTGCCTTACAACCTATGCTGGAGCCCCATGAGATTCCCCTCTGTGCCTAAACTTAGCCTTTATGGTGACACCTCTGTTTCCTCAGGTTTCCTTCTCTCTTAGTAATCTTTAAGGTTTTCCTCAGTTAACCACTTCCCAGTTAGAATGAATTATTTCTCTGTCTTCCAGCCACCACTCTCCCTGTATCTCCATACAGTCCTTCTGCCTCTTAGGCAACTACATCTTTTTCATCCTGAATTTATGAAAACACCTAGTTTAATGTCTTGTGAAAAGTATTTGTTTAAGTATGTATTTGTTGAATAAATGTGTGAATGGATAAATAAGGGGACAAGAATGAGTCTTAGGAGTTGGATGAAGATGTTATTTAGACTTAACTCCAACTGGTTTTGATTGGAATATAAAACTCAGTGGGATGTGTGCTTCAAAGAAGAAATTTATTCATGTACATAATTTTGAAAACAAAGGAAATACCTTCATTTAAAGATGGATCTAGGAATTTGGTTAATTCTATAACTGTTCTGGAAGATGTTAATATAAATGATTGCTCCCTTTTGTGCCCTGAAATAAGAATAGGCCTTTGAAATTTTCTTTTGATTTATATTCTGCTGTCAAAGTTTAAAAAGGATGGCAAGAGAACATTATTGTTTGCTAAGGGATTTAATCGTTTTTTGGTATTTGGTTTCTTTAAGTGATATCTGTAGTTTTTGCTCAGTTGTTGTTTATTTTTGAGGAACTGAATTACTTAAACTCCTATTGTCATTAATATTTGCTAGTCACATGGTATTCATTGGAAGTGCTATAAAATTAATAATTAAAAATAAAATACATAAGGAATCTGGAGTACTGATAAGAGTTGTAGGAGTGCGATCTCTAATTCCTCAGCATGTTTTGTCATGTAATGGTAGAAATTCTGCCCTTTGTTGCAGTGCAAGGATTGGGTGAAGAAGAGATACTAGGAGATGCTTTGTATGCATCGTCTCATGCAAGTCTCACCAGAACCTGTAAGGAGACATTATCATTCCCCTTACAGACAAGGGAACCCATTCTACAAGGTTTGGGAATTTCCAAGCAAGGTTAGAGAGGCTGTAAGAGGCAAAGCCAGCATTCTGACCAGGTTTGACTGTCCATGTTTTGAACTGCTCCATCACCCTCTCCCACTCCATCCTCTGGATGACTTTGATTTTTTCTTTCTTCTCCTACTTGCCCAAGCCATTCTGACTTCTTGATCTTAGCAGTTTCTACCAGTACTAAAATAGACAACTAATTTTTAATGAGAAAAGTTTGGCTTTTTGTGGCTGAATCTTATGATGAAACCAATGTGTACCTAACCAACATGAAGCCATAACCATAGTCCTGCCCATCGTGCCTCAAGTTTCTGTCTGATCTGCAAACCAGGACCTTGTCCTTTTCCTCTCTGCTCTCCTTTGATGGATTAGAAATTCTTTTAGGGGGGTTAGTTTCCATTTTTATTTCTTTTTTAACAAAAAGTTGATTTATAGTTCTATGCATTTTTAGGGTCCTGGAAGGTAAAGCAGGTAACAACTAGTAATGGTTTGTTTTTTTAGGTGGGCTTCTT